>NC_000010.11:6828181-6979696 GCF_000001405.40 Homo sapiens
GTCTCAACATCCCTTGTAGCCTGTACTACATATGCAGAATCTGATACAATATTGATAGGTTGATCAAAATCTTGTAACACTGTAATGACTGCAACCAACTCTGCTCTTTGAGCCGATTGATATGGAGTTTTGATTACTCATTCTTTCGGCCCTGTGTAAGCCACTTTTCCATTGCTGGAACCATCAGTAAATACTGTTAGAACATTTTCTAAAAGTTCCCATCTGGTAATTTTAGGTAGAATCCAAGTAGTCAGTTTTAAAAACTGGAAGATTTTTGTTTTCGGGTAATGATTATCAATAATTCCCACAAAATTAGCAAGACCAATCTGCCATGCACCAGAATTGATAAAGGCTTGTCTAATTTGTTCCTTGGTTAAAGGGACAACTATTTTGTCTGGGTCATTTCCACATAATTTTATTATTCATAATCTTGTCTGACCAATTAATGTGGCTATTTGATCCAAGTACAATGTAAAAGTCTTAACTGTACTGTGAGGAAGGAATGACCACTCCACAAGATCAGTATTTTGAATAATGATGCCTGTTGGAGAATGTGCAGTAGCAAAAATCAAAAGTTGGAGTGGGGCTAAGGGATCTGTTCTATTTATTTGCGCTGACTGAATTTTTTCTTCCACTAATTTAATTTCTTTTGTTGCCTCTGGGGTTAACATTCTCTTACTATTTAAGTCTGAGTCTCCTCTTAAGATAGAGAACAAATTTGACATGGCATAAGTAGGAATGCCTAGAGTTGGCCGAATCCAATTAATATCTCCCAGCAATTTTTGAAAATCATTTAGTGTTTTTAATGTGTCTTTTCTTATTTCTATTTTTTGTGGCTTAATTTTTCTATTCTCTATCTGCATCCCTAAATAATGAAAAGGAGTAGAGGTTTGAGTCTTATCAGATGCTATTGCCAGTCCTGCGTTGGCAACCTCTGCTTGCAGAAATGTATAAGTCAATTAATTTATCTCTTGTTTCTGCAGCACACAAAATATCATCAATATAATGAATAACAGTCTGAAAACTTGTCTCTAACTGGTTAAAGAGCACGACCTACAAAAGTCTGACAAATAGTTGGACTATTAAGCATTCCCTGAGGTAACACTTTCCACTGAAACCTGGTGGCTGGTTCTTTATTATTTATGGCTGGTATAGTAAAGGCAAATTTTTCGCAATCCTGCTCCGCCAGAGGGATGGTAAAAAAGCAGTCCTTTAGATCAATTATAATTAAAGGCCAGTCTTTGGGATCATGGCCAGAGAGGGCAATCCGGGTTGGAGAGGCCCCATGGGTTGATTTACGGCATTTACGGCCCTTAAGTCAGTTAACATACACCATTTGCTGGATTTCTTCTGAATTACAAACACAGGAGAATTCCAAGGCGAGAATGAAGGCTCAATATGTCCCTTTTTGAACTGTTCATTTGCTAATGAATGTAAAGCCTCCAGTTTTTGTTTTGGTAGCGGCCACTGATTTACCCATACTGGTTTTTCTGTTTTCCAAGTTAATGGTATGGGTTTAGGAGGCTCTACAGTGGCCGCCCCTAACAAGGATACCCTAATTCCTTCTCTTTCTTGATTTATTTTAGCCTCAACTGGAACTTTAATGCCATCTTCATTTTTTCCTAGTCCCTTTCCTGGTATATATCCCATCTTGGTCATGATTTTTTGACTCGTGGGGCTATATAATGGAGCGGGCATGGTGATTTCCACACCCCATTGTTGTAATAAATCTTGACCCCACAGATTAAGAGGAGTTGAAGTAATCATTGGCTGAACAGTACTTTCTTGATTATCTGGCCCTAAACAATGTAAAATCTCAGTACTTTGATACACTTCTGAGGCTGTGCCTACGCCGACAAGTCCCGTAACAGCCTTTTGTTTAGGCCAATTTTTTGGCCACTGATTTAAAGCAATGATAGAGACATCTGCCCCAGTGTCTACCAACCCTTCAAACTGTTTTCCTTGAATAATGGCCTTACACACAGGTCTGTTCTCTGAGATCTGACTTGCCCAGTATGCAGCCTTTCCTGTTGGAACAGTGCTTCCAAACCCTCCTGTTCTTTTTATCTCACTATTTCCAACCTTAATATAAGGCAGGAGTAAAAATGGAAAAATCCTGTCTCCTGGAGTGGCACTCCAAGGAATTGAAGAGCTAATAACCAATTGAATTTTGCCTTTATAGTCTGAATCAACCACACAAGTATGAATTTGAACTCCCTTTAGATTTATACTTGATCTTCCCAAGATTAGTCCTACAGTACCCTCAGGCAGCAGGCCATATAACCCTGTGGGGATTTTTTGTGGGGGCTCCCCTGGAAGCAGAGAGACTGCTTGTATAGTACATAAATCTACTGCTGCACTGCCACTTGTGGCGGGGGACAATTGTTGTATTGTGGTAACTGGCTTATTCCCTGAGGTACTTGGGACAGTGGGGGTTGTTGTCCCTGAAAACCCTGAGGAACAAAGGGCTGAATTGGGAATGCCCCAGTTTGTTGTGGGGCCTGAGGCTGGCCCCTTTGCTCGTTTCCTGACAATGGTTGCCCATTTCTATCAAATTTAGAATGACATTAACTAGCCCAATGTTTTCCTTTTTTACATCTTGGACATAAGTCTGGTGGCTCTCTACCTGTTGTTGTAGTCGCTTGAATAGTTATATTCTGTTTATTTGAGACTGGGCAATTCTTTTTTAAATGACCAATTTGACCACAATTATAACATTTCCCTCCAAATGTTCTAACTTGTCCTTCTAAAACAACTCCCACTATTGCTTGAGCCATAAGCTTAGCTTTATGCATAGCTCCTCCAATTCCATCACAGGCTTTTACATACTCTGAGATTACATCTGATCCTGTGGAAACCTTTCCTTTTAATGGCTTAATGGCTGATTGACACTCAGGATTGGCGTTTTCGTATGCCATCAACTCCACTATGACCTTACGGGCTTTTTCATCAGCAATTGACTTTTGAGCAACATCTTGGAACCTTGCCACAAAATCAGGGTAGGGCTCTTTCAAACCTTGTCTTACTGTATGAAATGAGGGGCAGGCGGTTCCTGGGTCTTGGATTTTTTCCCAGGCTCTAAGGCAGATAGCTCTAACTTGCTCAATGGCCTCATTTTGCATTAATGCTTGTTGACTAATAGTGCTCCAATTTTGACCTGTTCCTAACAGTTGATCTGCATCTTTGTTAACTGGAGGATTGGCAGCCCTATTTCTTCAGACCTGTTCTTGTGCCCCATCAATCCACCAAGTCTTAAATTGTAAAAATTGAGAGGGTGAGAGAGACGATTTTGCCAGAATCTCCCAATCATAAGGAATGAGTCTATGATGTCCATGAGCAATGGAATCTAATAATGTCCTCATATAAGGGGAGTTGGGTCCATAGTGTTTTACTCCCTCTTTCATATCTTTTAGCATTTTTATCGAAAAAGACTTGTATCTGGCCTCAACTGTGAGAGGCTCTCCCTCTTGGGCTCCTTCTCCAGGTGGTATCGGTTCTAACGTTACTGGGAATTGCCACGCCTCAGTGTCTCCTTCCTTTCTTGACTTATCAATAATTTCATGTAATTCACTACCCTGTCTACTAGGTGGTGCCGTATGATTAAGTCTGCTAGTGGGTGGCTGAGGGTATGGCGCCCTGCCCTGTGGTGCTGGGAGCGTTCCTGGATATCCATACTGACTTTCTGGGGGTGGCCGATACTGAAGTTTGGCCGGTGGCCAGTATTGATAAGCTACTGGTAGTTGGGTCTTATTTTCTCTAACCTGCGTTTGAGGTTGTAATGTTACGGGCATCTGACCTACTGGAAGAGGACTTGGTCCTCGTGGTTTAGACTTTGATGGCCCCACTAATTCTGGACCTTTTCCTTCTAATTTTAATGTTTCAGGATATATCACCCCCTGTAATTGATTGATTATAGTCAACATTTTGCGTTGACTGAGCCATTACTGGCTCTGCTACATATTCGCAATGTAAACTTTCCGTTTCTTTCTGGGATTTTTTCCCTGTCTTGTCTTTACAATCTATTACACAGCTTCCAGGGGCATCAGAAACTGAAACACTATCTTCTTCTCTTTGAAATCGTTCTAAAGCTGCTTTAATAATGGCCCAATCATTCCATACTGTAAGTGGAATGATATTACCCTTCCTACCTGCTTTAGTTCCTTGCCAATTCTTTTCCAGTCTTCTTTTAGATCTAAAGTTCCTTGTTCTGGAAACCATGGGCAAAATTGTTCTATTGTTTGAAATAGCTTGATTAGATTTTTTGTAGATACTCTAACTCCCACTCTTTTTAAAAGAATTTTAATAAAGCTGAGATAAAAGGCATATTTATTTTTAGTTTTCCTTTAATTTGCCCCATTGTCACCCTAGCTTCGTCCGAGCGCACTGTAAGGCTGACTGTAGACGTACTCGGGATCTCTCGTCGACTTGTCCTCAATGACCATGCTCGAGCGTACCTTCACCCTAGAGAAAAGCCCCCACATTGGGCACCAGATGAAGGGGTGGGTTGCCCCTCCACACCTGTGGGTGTTTCTTGTTAGGTAGAACAAGAGACTTGGAAAAGAAAAAGACACAGAGACAAAGTATAGAGAAAGGAATAAGGGGGCCCAGAGGACCAGCATTCAGCATACGGAGGATCCCGCCAGCCTCTGAGTTCCCTTAGTATTTATTGATCATTTTTGGGTGTTTCTCAGAGAGGGGGATGTGGCAGGGTCATAGGATAATAGTGGAGAGAAGGTCAGCAGATAAACAGGTGAACAAAGGTCTCTGCATCATAGACAAGGTAAAGAATTAAGTGCTGTGCTTTAGATATGCATACACATAAACATCTCAATGCCTTACAGAGCAGTATTGTTGCCCACATGTCCCACCTCCAGCCCTAAGGCGGTTTTCCCCTATCTCAGTAGATGGAACATACAATTGGGTTTTATACCGAGACATTCCATTGCCCAGGGACAGGCAGGAGACAGATGCCTTCCTCTTGTCTCAACTGCAAAGAGGCATGCCTTCCTCTTATACTAATCCTCCTCAGCACAGACCCTTTACGGGTGTCGAGCTGCGGGACGGTCAGGTCTTTCCCTTCCCACGAGGCCATATTTCAGACTATCACATGGGGAGAAACCTTGGACAATACCTGGCTTTCCTAGGCAGAGGTCCCTGTGGCCTTCTGCAGTGTTTGTATCCCTGGGTAGTTGAGATTAGGGCGTGGTGATGACTCTTAAGGAGCATGCTGCCTTCAAGCATCTGTTTAACAAAGCACATCCTGCACAGCCCTTAATCCATTTAACCCTGAGTTGACACAGCATGTGTTTCAGAGAGCCTGGGGTTGGGGGTAAGGTTATAGATTAACAGCATCTCAAGGCAGAAGAATTTTTCTTAATACAGAACAAAATGGAGTCTCCTATGTCTGCTTCTTTCTATACAGACACAGTAACAATCTGATCTCTCTTTCTTTTCCCCACAGAATGATACTGAAAGCATCTCAAAAATAAAATCACGAGTATCTGCAGGTAATGCATCAGCATTTTTATTAAGCCCTCTTATTTGAAAGTCACTGCTTTGAACTGGATTGGATGACCCAGTGGCTTGTGTGGGAGTTGGGCTGGAGAAGGTTGATAGTAGGCAAGCTGGTTTTCTCCTGCTGTGATTTTGTTACCTCTGTGGAGTGCTTTTGATTTTTCTTATCAACTGCAGTGACTCAGATGGGTTGACAATCTCTCCAAACAAAATGTGTACTTTTTCTACCCGTGAGTTTGGCCTGGTCCCAGAAATTCACTCTAGACATGTAGAACTATATGATAAGAGAGTTGGAAAAGAGCTCATCTATCTAGTCCAAAACTGTAATGAATTCGTGGGTCATGAAATCTATTTAATGGGTCGTGGCCAACATTTAGAAAATATAGATTAGACCAGAAAAATATCAGAGTTTTGCAATCTTTCATTTCAGCTACATGTGTGTATCACAGTGTGAAATGTTTCTTGCTACCAAACATTTTTGCAAAATACTAATAGTTCTATTCCCATATCTGACAAATGAAAGTAAGGAGCCCAGAAAAGTACTGTTAAGTATTCTATTTAGAGACACCCAGGACATAAATTCAAATGTCCAGACTTCTGGTTTAGTTCTTTTTCCATTTTGGAGATCTGGAATGATACAATAGAAGGAATAGTGAAGGACATAAGTTCAAGTCTGGTGCTTAAAAACTGTATAAAGTGCAAGTTGCTTACTCCATACCCTTCATTATTCTCATTTCTAAAATAAGGTAAATGAAACTGTCCATTTCCTTACTAGATTATTGGAAGAACTACCAAATACAGATAAAGCAAAAAAATGTCCAATGAAAAAATCTGCAAACCTGCTGTGTGTGTGTGTGTGTGTGGTCTTAATATTACTCTTCTATATTCTTTCCCGTAGACAAAATTTTTTATTTTTTTGATTCTTAATTTCTCCTTTTCTTCTACGCTTTAATGTGTTTCTTTATCTTTGAGCATCATCTGGCAATAAACATTTTTTGGTATTTGCCAGAATGCCATAATTTCCAAAGCATTTTCTCACTTGAAAATATTTAAAAATGCACAACAGGTTGAGGAAAATCCAATATACCATAAATATATCCAATATACCATAAATATATGTGTATTTGGGATATTGGATACATACCAAATATACATATATTTATATTTGATATATTGGATTTTAAATATAGTAAATATATGTTATATAAATATAACATATACCTATATAACATATCTGTTAGGTAAATATACCTATAGGTATATAGGTAAATATACCTATAGGTATATAGGTAAATATACCTATAGGTATATAGGTAAATATACCTATAGGTATATAGGTAAATATACCTATAGGTATATAGGTAAATATACCTATAGGTATATAGGTAAATATACCTATAGGTATATAGGTAAATATACCTATAGGTATATAGGTAAATATACCTATAGGTATATAGGTAAATATACCTATAGGTATATAGGTAAATATACCTATAGGTATATAGGTAAATATACCTATAGGTATATAGGTAAATATACCTATAGGTATATAGGTAAATATACCTATAGGTATATAGGTAAATATACCTATAGGTATATAGGTAAATATACCTATAGGTATATAGGTAAATATACCTATAGGTATATAGGTAAATATACCTATAGGTATATAGGTAAATATACCTATAGGTATATAGGTAAATATACCTATAGGTATATAGGTAAATATACCTATAGGTATATAGGTAAATATACCTATAGGTATATAGGTAAATATACCTATAGGTATATAGGTAAATATACCTATAGGTATATAGGTAAATATACCTATAGGTATATAGGTAAATATACCTATAGGTATATAGGTAAATATACCTATAGGTATATAGGTAAATAAATATACCTATAGGTATATTTAGGTATATAGGTATATAGGTATATATACCTATAGGTATATAGGTATATATACCTATAGGTATATAGGTATATTTACCTAACAGATGTGTCATATAGGTATATGTTATATAGGTATATATTATATTTATATAACGCATGTTATATTTATATAATATATGTTATATACGTATATTTACATATACATGTTATATAGGTATATTTATACAACATAATATAATACATATATTTATATAAATATACATGTTATATATGTATATTTACATACACATATATGTTATATAGGTATATTTACATATACATATATATTATACAGCTACATTTAATATATAAATATACCTATATAACATATATGTAATGTAGGTATATTTATACATATATGTTATATAGGTATATAACATGTTATATAGGTAGATTTACATAACATGTTATATAGTTATATTTATATATACATATAATTTTATATGGATATATTTATACATAGGTTATATGGGTATATTTACATATATGTATATATAACATAGGTTATATGGTATATGTAAATATATGGGTATATTTACATGTACAAATATGTACATGTTATATATAGATATGTATTATATATACACGTTATATATGTATATATAACGTGTATATATGTCAATGTATATATGTATACGTATAGATGTATACATATATGTATACATTATCTGGGTAGATTTACAAAACATATATACTATATAGGTATATTTACATATATGTAAATAATACCCATATACCCATAACATGTTATACGTATATATACTATACATATATATTTATATACATGTACATATGTATGTATACATACATATGTATATATGCATATGTAAATATACATATATTTACGCTATACATATATACATCTATACAGGCATATACATGTATATATGTGGATATACATATGTATATACATATATGTACATATAGATGTATGTATATGCATATATATACATGTATGTATATGTACATATATAATATAGGTATATGCATGTATATATGTCTACATATATGTATGTATACATACATATATGTATACATATGCATGTATGTATATGCATATGTATACATGCATACACATGTACACATATGTATACATACATGCATATACCTATATTATATATGTACATATACATACATGTATATATGCATATGTATATACATATGTATACATATATATGCATATGTATATACATATGTATAGACATATATGTATATGCATACATTTATGCATGTACATGTATACACATATATGCATATATATGTATATACATATATATGCATTTATGGATGTATATATGTATAGATATGTCTATGCATGTAAATATATGTATATATGTATGCGTATATATGTATGCATATATATGTATGCATATATACACATGTATATTATATACATGTATATAATATACATATGTATGCATATGTACATATAGCATATATACATATATGTATAACACATGTTATGGGCATATTTACAGACATGGGTATATATAACATATGTTATGGGTATATGGATATTTACATATACATATATGTATATGTAAATATCCATATATGCATATTTAACATGTATGTATATGTAAATATACCTATATAGCATATGTTATGTAAATCCACCCAGATAACATGTTAATATACCCATATAACATGTTTTGTAAGTATACCCATATAACATATATGTATATTTATATAAATATGTAAATATGTGTATATATATTAAATATGTTATATTAAATATGTTATATAAATATACCTACATAACATATACGTATATGTAAATATACCTATATAACATACAGGTATATTTATATAGATATATAAATATACGTACATTGGTATAAATATATATAAATATATAAATATACGTACATTGATATAAATATATAAATGTATAAGTATACGTACATTTATATAAACATAAATGTAGAAATATATAAATGTACATATATTTATATAAAAATGTATACATATATAAATGTGTACATATATTTATATATATAAATGTATATATAAATATATCAATATATGTATAAATATATGTATATTTATATAAATATACATATAAATATATATATTTTTATATAAATATATGTATATAAATATATTTATATAAATATGGAGATGGAATTTTTTTATCTAGTTCTACAATTTCTTAGTTTGTTTTCTAAGTAATTAATATTGATCAAATTGCTTTTGGCAAGATTATTTCTAATCAAATACATCATTATAGTCAACTTGTCATATAGCAATGTCATGTACTCTAAAATCAGTGATTTTCAAAGTCTACACCTGCTCATTTGGTAAATCACCACACCTCCTGATTCCAGTTATCTTCTTCTTCAGATCACTATGAGACTGGACTGGAACATTACCTTCAGGTGTGTTGCTTCGCCTTTGGAGAATGCCATCTGCCAGATATGGGATCAACCTCTTAAGTCTAACATAGCAAAGAATATCCCCCATACCATTTTACTGAAGAAAAACAACAAACAGCAGTTCCTTCCGCCACACTGGGTCTTAGCACATGCAGAGCTGTGGAGTCCTGTCTGTGCACAGAGACAGGCATTGACAGGTGGAGTCAGCTTCTCCACCACTGACATCTTTCCAAGTCAGTGCTGTGCTATGTCTGCAAATGAGAAAGGGGCAGCCTGGATGATGCTATAATTGGCAGTACCAACTCCATGGAAATATTCAGAGGCTTCAGCTGTCATTTTAAAACTGTCCTTCAGGTGGTGCCATGTCAAAGGGAAGGGACCTGCACGACTGCCCAAGGTTCCAGATACCTTAAGAGTTAAGCAGGGATTGGATGCTGGGGTTCCCGTGTTCATTTGCCCCTTTATTCAACTAGTGCTTACTAAGTGCTTAATGCATCCCAAATTATGGAAGGACCTGGGAACATATGTAAGACACTATTCATGCTTTCAAGTTGCTTGTAGTTTAGTCAAGGAGCCAGCTTAGCATCTAAAACCATGCAACCCCAATTTCTAACCACCAGTCAACTCTCCAGTAAGCCTTCTTCATGGTAATGGCCTTTGGGATGGTGGGGCCATAACGTAGGGTTACTTGGGGAAAGCCAGCACCTTGCACACATCTATCCTGCCCTGTCCCTGAAATCCCCCAGATCCATCCACACATCACAAATCTGCTGCTCCATAAAGAAGAGCCTGACATGGGCTTGTGGAGGAAGCAATTGATCAGAAAGATGCTCTTGATCTAATTTTATCTGTTTTTCTGCCATTGCCTCTTTCCAAATTCTTGCCCATGTGGTTTTCTCTTGGTAATCCATGTGGCCCTGGTCCGGGGCCTCCATATCTCTTGTGACTTAAGTTTAGCTCACTCTCCCAATTTTCAGAGTTTCCTGTCTTTTTCAGCTTGTGTTGAGATAACAGCAACTTGAGTATCTCCAGACGTTAATACTTCCCAATGGGTACCTGTCTTTGGGCTTTATCTCTACTGTCTCTACTCTACATAATTTTAATTGGGTCTAATTTAGAAATATTTTCCTCTATATTTTTACTTTTTATTTTTTATGGCCTCTTGCTTTTTAAAATTTATGGTTATGGCCTGTTTAAGAACTTCTCTACTTTTTACATATTTTCTCACATTTTCACCTCTTTTACAATTTTGCCTCTATTTCAACTGGTATTTATTTTGGCGAATGATAGGAATCAGGGTGGTAGAGTGCCTATAACTTTTTTTCTTCTGCACAGATTGGCAATTAACTCAGGATCATTTCTGGAATGAGCTATCCTTTCTTCAATGATCTAAAATGCCGTCTTTTTCATTTTCTTATTTCTTTTATACATACGGGTCTTCCAGTTCCGTTTCATAGATTACGGCCCTGTGGCTACGGCAAAGCATAGTAACTTTATCATACATTTTCACATCTGTTAAGGCTATTTTCCCCTCTTTGTGTTTTAGTTAGCACATTTATTTTAGTTAGTCAAGTTTTCCCCCAGAAGTATGTTGGGATTTTGAATAGGATTGCACTGAATTTATAGATTGGTTGTAGGCAGGGTTAATACCTTTGTAATATTGGGTTTTTCTTTCTGTAAATGATTTAGATATTTTAATATGACTACATCACCCCCAGCCATATTAATTCCTTTTACGGCCTTATGTCCTTCCTAGCTCTAGTCAGTCCTTTACATTGTGTTATGAATTTGTTCACTTGTTTATTGTCTGTGTCTCCACCTAGAGTGAACACAAAATTTCCAGATTCTAGATCAATGTGTAGAACATAGTAGGTGCTCGGGAATTATCGTTTTATTGATTGAATGAAATAACCTTGACTTCCTAAGGCCTATAGCCCTCAGTTTGAGAAATTCCTTTTTTTTTTTTTTTAACTTTCTTATTTGCTGTTTGGTTCTTATTCCATTGACTGCTCACCCCACTGCCTCATTACCCTTAGCAAGCTGAGAAAACTGGGTTATCAATTCACATGTGTGCTTGCAGCCTTGTTTCACTTGGCTATAACCCCTGTTGGCATTCGTCATCCATCATTTCCCTCCTGCCTTGGGTGTCCCAAAGCCGCACCTGCTGGTTTCCTCCACCTCGCCGCGGTGTCTTTTCAGCCTCCCTGAAGGCTGTTCTGCTTCTATCCCGACCTCAAGCGATGCATCCTGGGGAGAGGTTCCTCCTTGGCTCTGTCCTTGGTATCTCTCCCTCAGAATTGCATCATTTCAATTTCCACCAGATACTGATGACTCACATTTTCTTTTTTGGGCTAAATCTCATGTTTGTTTGTTTGTTTTTTCCAGACACATTGATATGACTACATGCTGGACATTTTCTTGCGGAAATCCAAAAGAAATCCCCATTTTCTTGCAGAAATCTAAAATAATCTCCCCTATGTGCAAGTCAGACTGAGCACCACTCCCAAGACCATGACCTCCCCTGCAGCCCTGCTCCTTCCCACTCACCTCTCCTCTTGAGAAAGCCACCTCCCACCACCCAGTCTGCAGTGCCAGAAAACTGGAAACCAGCCCCTAAGCTGCTTTCACCTTCGGCCCATTTCTCACTAGCCAGCCTCTCCCACGGCCTCCCCAGTTTCTTCAAATACACCCCCTCCACTATTCACCATACTGCCACCGTGATTTATTTACAACTTTTTGTCCGGATTACCTCAGTAGCCTTCTAATTGTCCCCTTTGCATCTAAAGTAGCCCCTCTCATCCCCCAAATCTTACGTCACTCTTCTACATAATTCTGGCTTTCCATGACCCATAAACCACATTTCTCAAGTGTGCTCTATGCTGGCTTGAATATGTTAATAATCTTAATTCTACTTTTAGTGCAATTTTCTTAGAGCTGGCATCACTTTCATCATGACGTGAGAACTTACTAGAGATAGGCAATGATGACTCACAGTCAAGCCACATGTCATATGCTGCAGACATCTGGACTGCTGCTTATTTGCAAATCCTTTTCTTCATATTTTTCTCATTTGTAGCACTGGATCAATTCCAATTAAGAGTTTAATAATGAATTAACTAATGATTTAAACAGGTGGATAAGACTAACACTGAACCAATGATTTTAAGTAAATCTAAATACATAAATCCCCCCAAATTATTAATCTATGTTGTTTACTAAGAAGTGTATTAAAATGATATTGAAAAAGTTTGCTTTGGGAAAGAGCTAGAAGTTAGAAGGTCTAGGTTCAAATCCCGCCTCTACTCCATCCTTGACTAAGATGTTGGACCCATCACCTCAACTTTCCTTGGGTCTTTTTGCCCAGACATGACCCGATGACACAGAGCTTACCTGGACCTCCACAATAGTAAATAGAACAGGGCCAGCAAACCAAAATTTGTTGAGTCCTTTAGAATTAAGTAGCTTAGATAAATTTTCATCAAAATCTTTATATAGTAGGGAATAGAAAAAAGTCAATTCTGTTTTATTTGAGGATGTATGAATATGTTACCATTTTTCAGACTCTGATTTACCTTCCAATTATTGTTTATTGGGGTCATTGTAAATTAGTTATCATTTTTTGAATACACATTCACTGCTGACAAAGTGGTGAAGCCAGAAGTTATGTTTGACCAGGGAAGATTATGACCCTCAAAGGAGAAAAATTCACAGGGGGTAGTTGATTATTGGTGGAATGGAGTGAGAGTGAATTCCTTAAAAGTTTAAACGAAAGCAGAACTATATTCATATCATGGAGGGAACTTAGTTTCTAATATGATGAACTATTGCCCCAAGTCATGACAATACCTTGCTCTCTGGAAGAGAATGAGTGAGTTTTTCATCCGCCAAGATACACACTCTATATTTCCAACCATCACATCTGCCTTGCAGGCTGACTGAACCCAGAGCAAATCAATCACAAAAGTTAATCCAAAAGACTTCCCTTCAGCTGCTGGAAATCAGTCATCACATCTGTGAAAAGAGTGCTAGTTATAACAAATGAGATCACAAATTTGACCATTTTATTAGACACCCTCTATTAGTGTTAACAGACAAAGATGAAGGTTAAGTTGAAATCAAATTGAAATCTTCTTCCCTCTGTACAGATTGCAATATCTGATAATACCCTCAACTTTCTTGGTGCAAATTAATTGCCTGGTACTCACAGTCCAGTGTTAACAGGCAATAATGGTGTGATTCCAGAGGAGAGTACTAGGTGGCAGGAAAATAAATGAGATTAGCAGTATTTGACTTGGAGCCATAGGCATCAATTCTGCTCCAGCTGTCGACCAGGTTCTAAAAACAAGACTCGGAGCAGCTTTTGCTCTTGCTAGTGATGCAGGGCCAGGAGAGCCCCCACACTCTGCATTTGCAGGTGTCCATGAGGGGAAGCCACTCCTGCATTTATCCTGTGAGTGGAGAAGCTCAGAGGAATGAGGACATTCCAACAGGGTATCAGAATTCTCTTTTGTTTATGCTAATTGACAGCAGGAACATCACCATCTTGGACAAACACCACCATTTTAAGTTCTCTTTTATTTAAAAACTGCCTAAATCCAGCCCCAAAACATCAGCCTAATGGCTATTGTCAGCATAATCAGAAACATTCCAACCCTAAGATAAACACCCCTCTGGCCAGAAATATGCCGACCCCGAGACAGCCTCCCCTCCGACCAGAGACATTCCAAACCCGCAGTAAACTTTCCTTCACATGGAAACATTCCAAACCTACAAAAAGCTTCCCTCTTCCTAAACCCTTAAATATCCTTAGTCTGCAAGAGAGAATGCTCCTGACTGAAATCAGCCAGAAGCCCCTCTCAGGTTTATTCTCCAAAATAAACCTGTCTTTGACTGTTGAGCCACTTTTTGTGTTTCTTTCCTCTTTGTTTAACCCTTACACTAATGTTAAATTTACATAACATTGAGTACTTCATGCTTTCCAGAGAATAAGGAGAATGCACATGAACTAATGCAAAGTTACACAGGTAATGTGACTTCATCATTAGCATATGGTGTTATACAAATAAATTATCCAAACTTTTGAAATTGATATATTTATCAATGGTAAAGCTAATAATTATCATTAACTGGAACCTTCCATGTGCAAAATACTACATGTCTTATGTCATAATCCTCAAAACCTGCAAACTATTATTATTTACGTTTTATAGATAAGGAAACTAATGATCAGTGAGATTGAATCAACTGTTTTAAGTCATCTATATAGTCAATGAGACTATATTGACACCAGGTCAGTTTGATTCCAAATTATATGCTTTATACCATATTGTGATAATATATACTTAGAGTTTCTACTTCTCTTGAGTTACACCATGACCACCATAAACTCAACCTGTCACTCAAAACAACAGAAATGACAATCCAAAGATTCTGTATTTGTAGGTTGAGGATCAACTCAAATAGTTACCTAAGTCCCAGACCATTGTAGAAAACATGGATCTCCTAAAATAGGATGACAAGGCCAAGACCACCTTCGCCAGATGGAGGCAGCAGAGATCAGAGGATTTGTATACAGAATCGCGCAGTCCCAGCTAAGTGAGGGCAGCTTGTCAACAGTATAGGTATAGGAATACAAGAACGTGAAGTTGATACACAGCTTTAGTCCTCACCTAAAATCATATTGGAGACATGGAGCAAGGTCAGTGAAGGGACATTCAGCCAGAAATGAGGAGGAAGAGGTCAAGATGAACAGCAGGAGTCAGGAGTCTGTGTGTGAGCCAGTGAACCAGGAAGTCTCAGCCAGGTCAGCTGACCCAAAGGGAAATCAGCTGCATGGTCACTGTGCAGCTGAGTTTGAGTTGCATGTTATTCATCTGCATGGTCACTGTGCAACTGAGTTTGAATGGCATGTTATTCATCTTTTTTTCCATAAGTGAGAAGTGTTTTAAGCTGGTAACTTTCTAGATACCCACTTTAATGTTAATAGATTTTTTTTCCATCCCAAAAGGGATGAATGCAAAGGCCCTAGCAAGAACACAGCTATCATTTTCCACTGGAGTTATTATCCAGGGATGGGGGTGGTGAACTCATCCTGGCTCATAATGTGTTAGAAGATAAATCACTCCTTCTAAGTAAAAGCAAACCTTTCAGTGGTATTTCTAGGAGAACACATGCTGCCTGGTGAGCAGAGGTTACTCAGGAATATGCTGGTAAATTGAGAGAAACCATCCTCATCTCCCACTCTCCAACACCCTCTGTTTTAAGAGCAGGAAATTCGCTTCAAGGAAACAAGAACTCATAGGGGTAGAAAGGAGCCCAGAGATCACCTAGCTCAACTGTGCACTTTATGAATGTGAAAATAAGATACTGAGAAGGTGTTAAATGCCATTAGTTCACTATCTTGCCTGTATTGCAACATCGGCCTTCTGTTTCCCTGTTGAGTTCTTTACTACATGCTTAAAGCAACATCAGACACGTAGGGGAGGCTGCACAGAAAGCAGAAGGCCAGTGAAGAAGGTTTACACAATTCTCCAGAAAACATAAAAGAGAAAAGGATTGAAACTGACTCTTACGTTTTCAGAGAGATAAAATATAAACAAGAAAAATTTGAAATTTAACCCCAGAAGACAGATAAGATCCTATTAGTTTAATCAAAAAGTTGGTAACACAAACACATGACTAAGATAAAGGGGCATAAAATGTACCTTACCCCCACCCCCAACAAAAAAATCTAATCTCATCTAAGATGCAGAAGAAAACAACTATAAATCAAGAAGATACACAACTTAGGAGAAATCTACCAGCCTGAAGCCATCAATAGTGTGGGGAACATTTGGTTAAGGATAAATGGAGAGGAAGCTTAGCTGATACAGTTTTAGAATTGAGGTTATGGATGATGTTATCCTGGTACACAGACCTAGTATCACAAACCTGACAGAGAAATAAGATCTAGTAGCAGCAAGGAATTCCAACTATGGACATTTGCTGGAAGTCTCATTCTCAGAATATCTGATAAATCCCTGGCTTGTCTTATTGACAATTTAATCTCCCAGAACAGTGAGGTAAAATTCAATTCTCGAATCAAATAAAGGAGTTATCCAAAATTTTTCTTTTATGGTAGTGTTTCTTAAGGAATCATTGGCCAACATTGCAAAACCCAGTCTCTACTAAAAATACAAAAATTAGCTGGGCATGGTGGCACGTGCTTGTAATCTCAGCTACTCAGGAGGCTGAGGCAGGAGAATTGCTTGAACCCAGGAGGCAGAGGTTGCAGTGAGCCGAGATTACACCCCAGCCTGGGTGACAAGAGCAAAACTCCGTCCCAAAAAAAAAAAAAAAAAAAAAAAAGATCCATGAACCACTACTGGGTGTTCACAAGGTTAACATGTTTTTTTGAAAAATACTATCACATTTTTTATTTTCACTCCTTTAATATTTGCATGAAAGGTGCGAAAGCAATGGTGAGTAAAACATCCGTCCTTAGCATAAATCAACTAGTGGCATCTAATTGTCTGGTGGTCATTTGATTCTTCGCTACCACACACTCAAATAAATCAATATATAAATAAGTAAGCAGAAGCCACTGTTGTTTGTTCAAGAATGTCCTAATGAAGCAGTGGAAGTATTAATTTTATTAAATCTTGACCCTTGAGTACAGATCTTCTTAATAGTTTGTATGGCAACATGGAAAGTACACCACAGCTAAGGTATGTCAAACTACAATGATTGTCTCAAGAAGAAGCATCTGTGCAATCATTTGAGTTGCAAGCTGAACTAGCCACTTTTTTTTTTCATGGAACTACCTTTTTATTTGAAAAATTAGCTAACAAAGTATATGTATTCAGGTTTGGTCATTTAGCAGGCTTTTCTTGAAATAAAAGGAGAGAGTGTGTAATGTCAAGGAAAAGAATTGATAGTATTTGTGGTCTAATAAAACTTCAGTTTTCTGGTGAAATTAGAATTTCTGAAAACTTTTACTCACCAAGATGACCCTGACGGTGGCAAATATTTGAACACTTTTCTAGTGATGTCAATGGTGGGTTTTTTGATATCATACAATTACATGTGTAAACATTTGAAAAACCAAATGCATGATGTTGCAAAATCATGCATGAGTAAAAAGTAGCATTCAAAGTGCAAGACAGACTAATGGATTTTAATGCAAAAGAGTATGCAAAATTTATCAATAGGTTTCCAATTTCATATCACAAGCAACTTTAAGAAAACATTACTACTCAAAATTGTTGTTGTTAACGTCAATAAAGAATATCCGCAGTTAACTGAAAAGGCTGTAAAATAACCCTCTCATTTTAACCCATTTATGCCTGAGGTTGCAATTTTTTGAATTTGAAAAATCAGACCTTGGTGATGGCCTTGAGCAGTAGGATATAAATAACTCCCACATGCTTAGCGTTCCAATAATGGAACAGTAGGCATAAATGGCACCAACAATTTTGACTATAAACTACCTATTTGAGTTTATATTTTCTTCATTTACTTCAGCCAAAGCAATAGCACAGCAGACTAAATGCAGAATCAGATACGAGAAGCCAGACACCAAAGAAATTCATAGAAATTAAAACAATACTATTCTTTCCACTAATTATTTTTAAAATGTCATATAAAATTGGCGTGTCATATAACAACATCATATAAAATTCAATATAAATTTCAATGAGTTCATTGCTATTTTTAAATTAATTCTCTAAACATTTTTATGGTAAATGTCAATAATAACTCACATTAGTGAAAGCTCTTTGGGGTCCTCCATCATTTTTAAAGGCATAAAGGGATCCTGAGATGAAAATGTTTCATAACCTCTGTTTCATGATAGCCCCAACCTCCACCATTCCCAGCAAACCTATTTCCCTTAACTTGCTTAATTTTTTCCGTAGCACTCAGCCCCTCCTAGCATATTTTGCTTTGATTCTCTGTTTGATGTTTATCTCCCACAACTGGAATCTTTACTCCATGGTGAAGGAACCTTGTCATAGTTTTGTGCACTCTTCTATTCTTGGTGCAGAAGATATCCTGGCATATAGTAGGCACTCAATGAATATTTGTTGAGTGAATGACTTAAGTGAATGATTAATAATATCTGTCCTTCAAAGGCTTCCCGCCACCAGCCCTCCCATTTTTATGGTGCAAGTCTCTAGGATTTTCCATCAGTGTCTGTCTGAACTTGAGCAGACCCACAGTTGCTACCCGAGACATGCTTGACCTTGCCTGTTTATACCCCTCTGCAAGGAGAGCTCAGTGCATACTGTAGATGATTTTTCACCTGGAAAAGTCTCTTTAAAACTCAGAGCACTATGTCAGTCTTGTATCCAAACATCCTAAAGTATTTCCATTTCCTTTTAGTAAAATTACAGAGCAGCACTTCAGGCACTGCCAGACGCCTTGGTCTCGAACTGCGACCACTAATTGTCTACTCAGACTATGTTGCTTTAACGAGGGAAAGTCGAAGCTTCTTCACCTAACGATAACACTAATCTCAAAATCACAAGCTTATAGCTTAAGACAAATTCAGAAAAATGTCTGGGAGTATTATTTAAAAAGTACAAGCTCACTATGAGTGAAACAGATTATGATACAATCTTGTGCTGTGCCCATTAAGGATAGTGTTGACCAAAAAAAAAAAAAATTAGTGCTTTTGCACATAATTTGTACTGGCAAAGCCACATTTCCAAAGAAGGAGTCATAAATGAAATTGTCATAGAAGGGAGAGATGAGGGCAAACAAGGAATGCTTTGTCTAAGAGAGTGAAGACAGTGGGGCATGAGGGTTGTTTTCAGATACATTAAGGCCTCAGTCCCTGTGGCCCTGGGAGTCAACGCTAGATAAATTGGTATAAGGGAAGCAGTTTTAACATTATCATAAATAAATACATAATAATTTCAGGTATTTGGGAGTGGGACAGATTCCCTTGCCTGGCTGCGAGCGTGCCTTTCTCTAGAGTATTTAAGAATGCTTATTGGCTAGCTGCAGGAAGAAACCTTAAGACAGGGATTTCTTCATTAGTTTGGCTTGGAAGGATGAAGGGGTTCTTATATGTCTTTTAAAGTTTTGAGGGTTTGTTGTTTGTTTTACCAATAAGATTATGGTAAAAATATAGATTCCTATTTTTGTATTCTAGTATATTTCTGCATTTATTTATTTTTTGTCGGGGGGGTGGGACGGAGTTTCGCTCGTTTCCCAGGCTGGAGTGCAATAGCGTGATCTCGGCTCACCACAACCTCCACCTCCTGGGTTCAAGCAATTCTCCTGCCTTAGCCTCCTGAGTAGCTGGGATTACAGACATGCACCACCATGCCTGGCTAATTT
Source organism: Homo sapiens (assembly GCF_000001405.40). NCBI lineage: Eukaryota > Metazoa > Chordata > Mammalia > Primates > Hominidae > Homo > Homo sapiens. The sequence continues at coordinate 6,848,329 of NC_000010.11, forward strand.
TGTATTTTTAGTGGAGACGGGCTTTCTCCATGTTGGTCAGGCTGGTTTTGAACTCCCGACCTCAGGTGATCCGCCTTCCTCAGCCTCCCAAAGTGCTGGGATTACAGGCGTGAGCCACTGAACCTGGCTATTTCTGTATTTTTATGTGCCACTTTTTATGACAATTAATTCAGAAAATTCAGAACAATAACACTGTATTTCAATTGCTTGCAAATTTAAAATATTTCTCTATAAACATTCATTCATTTTTACTGTTTAAAGGAAAGGATGACATTGATGGCATAATACTGAATCTTAATTCTTCAATAAAGTTATTAGTAATTTTCTTTATTTTACATGAAGTAACTACTTCACTAGACCCTTCATTGATGGTGCAAAGGGGAAACTTGAACACAAGCCCTGTGAGATAAATTAACCTGGCTGAACCTGCTGTCACTAACAACCTCTCCAGTCAGGTGAAATGTCCAGCTTGTTAACTAAGATGCAATTGAGTTTCTTTTTTTTTCTCTTTTCTTTTCTTTATTTGAGACAGGGTTTTACTCTGTTGCCCAGGCTGGAGTGCAGTGGCATGATCACAGCTCACTGCAGCTTCAACCTTCTGGGCTCCAATGGTCCTCCCACCTCAGCCTCCTGAATAGCTGGGACTAAAAGTGCACACCACCATGCCTGGCTAATTTTTATATTTTTTGTAGAGACAGGGTTTGTCATGTTGCCTAGGCTGGTTTCATACTCCTTGGCCCAAGAGATCCTCCCACCGTAGCCTCCCAAAGTGCTGGGATTACAGGTGTGAGCCACTGCGCCAGGCCCTGAGTTTCTAAAGAATTGTTAAAACTGCCTTAACATATTTTTGAGACATACACACACAAAATCTTGGAATGCAAATTGATGATGGCAGAACATCCAGCCTATAGAGTGTGAAATTAACAGAATCCAAGAGCACAGAAATAATCTAATCAGTTGACCAAATGAATAATTCTTACTTTGACTCTCTGGGTTACCTAGACAGAATATTTAGAAAGGTGGTAATAAACTACAGAGAATCTAGCAAAGTATGGGATAAATTGTCAGATTAAAAATAATAACTGTATATACAAAATTGATTGTATTTATGTGAGCAATGAACAATTGGTCATTGAAATTTTAAAATATTACTGTTTGAAAGAGCAGCAAAAACTTAGGGATGAGTCTAACAAAAGATGTGGAAGATTTGTATGATGAAAGCTGTGAAACATTGGTGATAAAAATGAAAGAAATCCAATAAATGTAGAGGATGTATGGTGTCCCTGAGTGGAAAGCCCCAAGGTTGTTAATACATCAGTGCTCCCGCAAAAGATCCATAGACTCACATAATACAAATAAAATTCTTAGAAGGGCTTTTTTTTGGGGTTAAAATTTATGAGTTGATCCTAAAGTTTATACAACAAAGCAAAGAACTTAAAACACCGAAAACAGTTTTGAAGAAAAAAAAAATCAGAGAACTTGTTGTACCTAATTTCAAGACTTACAGAAAAGCACAGAAATCAAGGAAGGTATTGGTAAAAGAAGAGACTTTCTAGCTCAATGGATCTGAATAGAGATTCCAGAAATAGACCTACACATACATGGTCAGTTATTTTTTGACAATGGTGCCATTTAATGGGCAAAAGATAGCCATTTCAACAAATTATACCAGAACAATTGTTCATCCATATGCCAAAAATAAAATTTATATGAAAAAAGTGAAATTTACACTATATAAAATTAACTTGAAACAGATCACCTAAATATAAGACCTACAACTATAAAACCTCTAGAAGAAAATACAGAAGAAAATTATTGAGACCTTGGCAAATAAATCTTAAGACACAAAAGAAAAATTCTGCTGATCATTTTTAGACATTTAGCGTGTCATCTGATTTCTCAACAGCAGCACTGAGAGTTGGAAGGCAATGGCATAATATGCTGAAAGAACATGATAACTGTCAACCAGATTTATATCCTCAGTGAGAATATTTTTAGGAATGAGAGCTATACCTATTTCCAGACAAAATAAAACAGAAATTTGCCACCGAAAAAAGAAAAAATCATAAAAGAAGCAATTGATTAACTGGACTTCATCAAAATTAAAAACTTCTGCTCTTTGAAACAGACTGTTATTAAAAAAAAAAGTAAGCTGCAGGCTGTCATTCAGGCTGGAATGCAGTGTGCAATCATGGGCCCCTGGGCTTAAGTGATCCTCCTGCCTCAGCCTCCTGAGTAGCTAGAAATAAAGGCCCAAGCCACTGCACCTGGCTAATATTTTTTTAAAAAATTTATAGAGATAGGGTCTTGCTATCTTGCCCAGCCTGGTCTCAAACACCTGGTTTCAAGCCATTCTCTCACTTTGGCCTCCCGCAGTGCTGGCATTCCAGGCATAAGCCACCACACTGGGCCTCTACTCTACTTTTCGATGTTTAGGTATGTTTAGATACACAAATACCTACCATTGTGTTAACAATTGCCCGTATATTCAGTAGAATCACATGCTGTACAGGTTTGTAGCCTAGGAAAAAAGTATGGCACACTGTTCAGTAAAAATTTGCAGGGTAAAATAAGCGAATAAAATCCCACTTTGTTGTTGTTGTTGTTTTCTATTATCCAAGAGAACTTTGAAATAGCTCCAGAAAACATATTTCTTATTCCAAACACATTCATCTTCATTTCGAAAGTAAAAAAACTAAAATACTAACTCAGAGAAAAATCAAATGTTTAATTTTGGAAAGTATAAAAATTTACCAAGATTATTAACAAGTAGTTACATACTTGATTTAAAATGCATGTTGTCCTTTAAGCTGCACAGACCAAAGAAGTCTTTTCCAAGCTTCTTGGTGCAGAACTATGCTGACTCAACTGAGTACTCACCCAGGCTTGGGGTCAATTCAAACCTTCCTTTAATTAAAAAAAAAAAATTTCTCCCTCCCTGAAGCAAGCTTCCTTCCATGCTGCTACTGTTATGTGAAGATGGAGCAGCCTCTTTCCAAAAATCCCATAAATCAGCAGCTCTTAGATTTCATGGCATCATGTTGATATTGCTTCTTGACTCTCTAAGGTTTAGCATTTTTTGATCACCTTTTCTTCTAAGAAAGAATCTCAGCTTTTTGGTAGTAAGTTGAGAGTTAAACTTCCGATTGACAGCTACTTAACTCATGTCCAAAAATGTTGAGATAAATGGTAGTTGAGACAGTCCAAGGAACAAGTTGAACTTTGTCATTAGATACTTGTGTCAAGCAGAGCATGAGAATGTAAACTCCTTGGTTTAAAATGATTTGGTCCTCATAGAAGCCCTTTCCCTGAACAAAGATTCAGGACCATGCTCTCAGCTCTTACCAAAGGCTGGTATAAGAAAAACCTTCGTGAAGTGCAGTTATTTATTATTTTTAAGTAAAGTTTATTTTTTCCGTATATGAGTAATTCATACTCATTATAGACAAATTGGAAAAATACAGAAAAGCAAAAGGAAGAAAAATTTTAAGATAGTCCCATTCCCCAAAACAATATGGTTCATTTCCACTCTCTCTTTGTTCTATGAAATTATTTTTAAAATCTTCCGGTAAGATAATAAACATAATTTACAAAGCATATGTTTTCTGGGAAAATAGTTCTGAGGACATGGTTTATGTTATGTCCCTAATAAGAGTCTACAGGATTTCTTGATAGAATATAAAATTGTCTCTTATAGCAAGTCAATATGGTTTCTTTTATCACACAAACTGCATAGAGCATTATCTTATTTCTCTATTATACTGGGTAACAAGAAATTCAGACAATTTCGTGCTCATTTTTAGTAATGTTCTCCCCTAATCTTCCTCTTCCCCCTCTCTTTCCATGTGAGTTCTGTTTTCTCTTTTATCTTTATTTTATCTACCATGCATATAAAATATAAATGAGCCCCTTTTTGTAAAAATCACTTACCAACTCCCTTTTGAGGAAAGTAAGACGCAAATAAATAGATTGGCAGTCTGGGAGAAGCACAGTAACTCTTTTACTTTTATTCTGGTGAAAATGCAAAGAATAAAACCTAATATTCACCAGAGGAGAAGGGACACACAGGGTGAGACAGAAAAACATACAGGGGCTGGGGACGGTGGCTCACGCTGTAATCAGAGCACTTTGGGGGCCAAGGTGGGCAGATCACTTAATGTCAGGAGTTTGAGATCAACCTGGCCAACATGGTGAAATCCCGTCTCTACTAAAAATACAAAATTTGTCAGGTGTGGTGGTGTGTTCCTGTATTCCCAGCTACTCAGGAGGCTGAGGCAGGAGAATTCCTTGATCCCGGGAGGTGGAGGTTGCAGTGAGCTGAGACAGCCTCACTGCACTCAGCCTGGGCCACAGAGCGAGACTCCATCTCAAATATATATATATATATATATATATATATTTTTTTTTTTTTTTTTGAGACATGGAGTGTCTACAAACTACAAAATTCAACCATAACACTAAGATCTTGCTGGGTACAAAAATGTACACACACAAAAATAAAATAATAAATGTGATGCACGGAAGATAAGCAGACTAATGTTTATTGGGATAATTTCGCTTACTAACCATGCTATATCCTGTTATCACTCACCTCAAACCCTACTGTCATCTAAAAGGGGAATCCCTTTCCTTGTAGGTGAAAAGGGATTCTCCTTTTATATGGCAGTAGGGTTTGAATGCATTCTTGGTTATTCTGAATGCACTCAAAATATCAAACTGTAGCCGTTTTGTTGCTCGTGAGTATCTCATGCTACTGTTGCCCTGAAAAGTCCATGCAGTATGGAGATGCTGAAGGGAACTCAGGCCACTTCGACAGGTCAGTTATATGGTAAGGTGGGAATGGGCAGAGAACGGGGATGACGTGGAAAATAATATAAATTTTAAAGACTCTAAGGGTAAAACTATTAAAAAGAGAAAATTCACAAGTTTGGAAAATAAAAAGGGAAATGAGTTTAATGCAAGTCATGGAATCTACTGGACTATCCTCTGCGAGAAGATTTAGGACGTTAGCTCATGGTTGTTGAGCTGGGACTGGCTCTGCAGAGAAGAGAGGAAGAAGCTTGGGATACTGTTGGAAGATTAGGGAGATCCTGGGAAGGCCGAGTGTGTTTTGATAAATGCAGTTTCAGCCTCACACATTGAAAGATCTGAGAAAATACAATAAATTGATAATATAATAGTAAAGATAATAGTCATAAAAATGACAGTGTTTTGCAATTAATGTGCTGCCTTTGTATTTGCTAACATTATTAAACCTTCAAAATCCTGATTGAGTAGGTGGAGCATATTATTATTATCCCCATTTTCAATATCAGGAAGTGAAGCTCATCGTTGGCCAAATGGCTTACCTGAAGTCACACAGTAAGTGACAGTATACCTCTCAGAAAATGTCCCAACAGGGAGGGAAAAAGCATGGCACACTGTTTAGTAAATATATGTAGGATGAAATGAATGAATAAAATCCTACTTTGTTGTTGTTGTTTTTTCTATTTCCATTATCCAAGAGAACTTTGAAATAGCTCCAAAGGCCGGGCACAGTGGCTCATGCCTGCAATCCCAGCACTTTGGAAGGCCGAGGTAGGCACATGACCTGAGGTCAGGCATTTGAGACCAGCCTGGCCAACACGGGGAAACCCCGTCTCTACTAAAAATACAAAACTTAGCTGGGTGAGATGATGTACGCCTGTAATCCCAGCTACTCAGGAGGCTGAGGCAGGAGAATTGCTTGAACCTGGGAGGTGGAGGTTGCAGTGAGCTGACATCGCACCACTGCTCCAGCTTGGGCAAAAAGAGCGAAACTCCGTCTCGGAAAAAAAAAAAAATAGCTTCAGAAAATATATTTCTTATTCTGAGCAAATGCATCTTTATTTCTAAAGAAAACCAACTAAAACACTAACTCAGAAACAAAATCAAATGTTTAATTTTGGAAAGTATAAAAATTCAAAAAAAGAAAACTAATATTACTGATACCCCAGAGATAAGCACAAGTAACAGTTTGGTGTTATCCCTACAGTTGATTTTCTATGTGTTTTTCTGCATGTATTTTTTGAAGTTACATATATCATGCATAAATTTGTTTTTCAGAATTTACAAATATATTGTAAACATTTTACCATCAATAAATGCTACAGCATGATTTTGTCTCTATTATGGTAAAAAACATGCAACATGAGTTCTACCCTCAACAAATATTCAAGTATACAACATAGTATTGTTAACCATGTGTGCACTGTTCTACAGCAAATCTCTAGAACTTTTTCATCATTCATGATCAAAATTCTATACCCATTAAACAGCAACTCCCCATTCGGCCTATCCCCCAGTCCCTGGCAACCACCATGCTATTTTCTGCTTCTAAGAGTTTGGTTACTTTAACTACTTCATATAAGTAGAATCATGTAGTATTTGTCCTCTGACTGGCTTATTTCACTTAATATAATGTCCTCAAGTTTCATCTATGTTGTAGCTACATGACAGAATTTCCTTTTTTCTTAAGGCTGAATAACATCACACACACACACACACACACACACACACACACACACACACACACACAGTGTATTTCCATTATTTTGAATAAATACCCAGAAGTGGGGTTGCTGGATCATATGGGAGTTCTATTTTAAATTTTTTGAGGAGCCTCCATATCTTTTTTTCATAATGGCTGTACCTACCAATTTACATTCCCACCAAGAGTGTACCAGCCTTTCAATTTCTCCACTTCCTTGCTAATATTTGTTATTGTCTCTTTTTGTTTTTTGTTTAAATAATGGTTATCCTGACAGGTGTGAGATAATATCCCACTGTGCTTTTGATTTGCCTTCCCCTGCTGATTAGTGATGCTGAGCACCTTTTCATAGACTGGTGGCCATTTGTATGTCTTTTTTGGAGAAATGTTTGTCCAAATCCTTTGCCTAGTCTTTAACTGGGTTATTTGGTTTTTTGCTATTAAGTTGTAGCGGTTCCTCACATATTTTGGATATTAGTCTCTTATATATATGACTTGCAAATATTCTCTCCAATTCCATAGGATGCCTTTTGCTCTGCTGATTGTTTTCTTTGCTGCACAGAAGCTTTTTGGTTTCATATAGTCCCACTTGTCTGTTTTTGCTTTTTTAACCTCTGATTTTGGTGTCATAGTCAAGAAATCATTGCCAAGACCAGTCGTGTAAGGCACCTCCCCTACATTTTTTTTCTAGGAGTTTTATAGTTATAGCATGATTTTTAAAGACTGCCTAATAACTCATTGGTTGGATCTACCAGAATTTATTTAACTAACATTCAGGTACTAAACATATAAGTTGTTTCTAAGTTTTGGCTAATTTAAACTTTGCTACAATAAACAACTTTGCATCTAAATTTCTTTGCACCTATCCATGCATACTTCCCTAAGATTAAATTCCTATAAATACAAGCGGTAAGCCAAAAGCATTAAACATTCGAAGTCTTTGGATATTTATGGATACAATGTACCCCTTGGCCAATGTTAGAGTATGAAAATATGTAGAATAAATGGCAATGGGGAGGTAGAATAGACTCCACATTCTGTGCCTTATCATATGTACACCACACTTAGAATCCAGATAATTTCAATGGGGAAGAACTGAGGGAGATGCAAAGGAAGCTTATTGGGTTTCACAAAAGCCCACTGGTAAATGACAGAGAACGTGAAAGGCCACATGTCTAATCAGAGACTTTTATTATAGAATAGTATAAAACAAAAAAGCATGTCAAAAAAATAGATAAGGCAACAATAATCACAAAAAATTCCCAGGTCTAATCCATGCGGGAGGGAGCTCAAGGCCAGGACAAGCCACTTGTTGGCAACGATCATAAAATACTCGCACGCAACAGAGAAAAAAGCAAAATTCTTCCTATGTCCCCCTTTTTTTTTTCCTGTTATGACAAATGACCTACAAATGAAAAAGTGTAAGAATATTGGAAGAAGATGTCATTTCAGAGGAGTTTTACTCTTTAGTTTCAGACAGTCTTTCCCAGGGTGGTAGGAAAGGTTATGCAGATGGGTATGAATACATGCTGTTGGCCGTCTTTTGAGAAATAACATAGGTATTATTATTATATTGAGAATAGCTTACGGAGAAGAAGCACTGGACATCTTGATCTGGATATATTCTGAGTAGATATTTTTAAAAAAGGTGGTGGGGGTGAAGGATGGAAACCATCATGACCATAGACTGGTAACCTTGTCATTTCTCCAGGGAAAATACTCAGGCAGAGAATTAAAAGGAGGATTCTGGAGCATTCTTTAGCAAAATAAGTGATTGCCAAGATCATGAGAAATGGATCAGGCTAATGGGGCTACCGCCTCCCTGGCACATGCCCCTGTGTGCACCAGATGCAGCTTCCCCTCTTGAGCTAACACAGCCCTGCAGTCCATGCCAGAGTGGACAACGTCCATCAGAAACGTCCATCAATGTCCATCAGAAAGAGGCACCTGGAAGGTGTCTTTGGGCAGAAATAATCCTCCAACACAGCTGGATTTAAGCTCCCACTGACTGCCTTGGGCAGATGCCCTTGTTTAGAGCTGAGATTCCATCATGCCAAACTAGAACGGTATAGCATTTGTGGTTAAGAGCTTGGCTGTCTGATGGGCTTGGATTAGCTTCAGACCTACCTGTTACTAGCTTAGTGACCTCTTTGTGACATCTTCTGTCCTGTAAAGTTGATGTCTTAATGATGTCTTCCTTGCTGTGCTTGTTTGAGAAGAAAAAGCTAGACCAGCAGGATAAAAGCTCCCATAAATAACATTATGTTTCAATGCAAGGAAGAATGTTCTTTAAAAAGTCACCTGATAAAAACAGAATGGGCTGCCCATGAGATGGTCACAGCCAGGGTACGATGAGGCAGAGTTGGGATGGTTCTTTTCTCGTCTCCTCTAGACTGTGTGTCCTGATTCTAAGAACTTCAGAAAACATTACGTGCATTTTAAAAAGCTGTATGAACATGTGGTGCTGCTGTGAGCAGTGGATGGATTGTGCTGTTTACAGGACAACCCCCACGAGGAAGTAGAATGTTAAAAAAATAAGCAAACAACAGACCAGGAAACCTCTGGTAGACCTGTCCTTTGTCACATTTTGCTTCAAACACTCAAGTCAAAAGGAATTGTTTAATGGCTACAATGATAAAAGATCCTTTCCAGAGAGAAGAAGTGATTTAAAAATTGATGTCAATGAAATATGTCAGTTATCTTATATGAAATGACCCTCTGACCATCCAGGATTTTGTGTGTGTGGTTTTGTGTGTGTGCGTGTGCGTGTGTGTGTGTGTGTGTGTGTGTTTTACCAGGGAATTCATTTAGATTGTTATTTCCCAAATGAGTTGAGATCATGGATTTTTACCAACATACATAATTAAAGGCTCCAATTAATACTATTTCCACAGTAATTCCTTTTTTTCTAAGTTGTATAACTTAGACTGCAGATTTAGCAGAGACGTGACATTTCACTAAAAAGTAGAAATCATAGACAAGTGTAGGGATTTTCATGATGCCTAAAACAAAAGATCAGTTATTAAAAATAAAGGCCTTCCCCCAATAAAAATGTCTATCCGTTTGAAGTTTTAATACGGTCTTAAAACATTACAAATAACTAACTTTACTTCGAATAACAAATATTTGAAAAAGAAAATAGGGTTGAAAGCCCAACTCTTAGAAACAACTTCCTAGAGAAATCTTCCAGGCATAAATTACTTGTAAAAAGTAGCTGTGTCTGGAAAAGTGGGTAAATAATTTACTATTCCAATACAGAAACTTGCTATTAAAGGAACATGAATGAATCCTTTTATTTAAAGAAGAAAAACCAAAAAAACATTTAACAAGAGAATTAGCATTTCCCTACTTATCTATATTATAATTTTGCACATCAGTTTTTCTTGAGGTGTAAAATACTAGCAATAATAAATAAGCTATGTTATAAAAATCTAAAAGTTATTTAACATGATTTATCTTATTTGTTCTGTGTGACAGAGTTTGGGAGAACAGCTACCTACGGTACCATTGAAGCATATGCACAACTATGAAATCATGAAAGTGTGAACCTAGCCAAGGTCTCAATCTTTACGGGTCCCACTTTTCTTATCTTCACAAACAAGGAAGTTGGGTTAGATTAAGTGTTTAATGCTAACATCCTTCTCTCTCTCTCTTTTAAAAACTAGAGCATTTATTATATGACTAATTATTATTATTATTATTATTTACATTTTAATTTTTCTCTTAAATTTCTTTTCTTTTTTAAATTATTATTATACTTTAAGTTTTAGGGTACATGTGCACAATGTGCAGGTTAGTTACATATGTATACATGTGCCATGCTGGTATACTGCACCCACTAACTCGTCATCTAGCATAGACATCTACAGAACTCTCCACCCCAAATCAACAGAATATACATTTTTTTCAGCACCACACCACACCTATTCCAAAATTGACCACATAGTTGGAAGTAAAGCTCTCCTCAGCAAATGTAAAAGAACAGAAATTATAACAAACTATCTCTCAGACCACAGTGCAATCAAACTAGAACTCAGGATTAAGAAACTCACTCAAAACCGCTCAACTACATGGAAACTGAACAACCTGCTCCTGAATGACTACTGGGTACGTTACAAAATGAAGGCAGAAATAAAGATGTTCTTTGAAACCAACGAGAACAAAGACACAACATGCCAGAATCTCTGGGACACATTCAAAGCAGTGTGTAGAGGGAAGTTTATAGCACTAAATGCCCGCAAGAGAAAGCAGGAAAGATCCAAAATTGACACCCTCACATCACAATTAAAAGAACTAGAAAAGCAAGAGCAAACACATTCAAAAGCTAGCAGAAGGCAAGAAATAACTAAAATCAGAGCAGAACTGAAGGAAATAGAGACACAAAAAACCCTTCAAAAAATTAATGAATCCAGGAGATGGTTTTTTGAAAGGATCAACAAAGTTAATAGAATGCTAGCAAGACTAATAAAGAAAAAAAGAGAGAAGAATCAAATAGATGCAATAAAAAATGATAAAGGGCATATCACCACCGATCCCACAGAAATACAAACTACCATCAGAGAATACTACAAACACCTCTATGCAAATAAACTAGAAAATCTAGAAGAAATGGATAAATTCCTCGACACATATACTCTCCCAAGACTAAACCAGGAAGAAGTTGAATCTCTGAATAGACCAATATCAGGAGCTGAAATTGTGGCAATAATCAATAGCTTACCAACCAAAAAGAGTCCAGGACCAGATGGATTCACAGCCGAATTCTACCAGAGGTACAAGGAGGAACTGGTACCATTCCTTCTGAAACTATTCCAATCAATAGAAAAAGAGGGAATCCTCCCTAACTCATTTGATGAGGCCAGCATCATCCTGATACCAAAGCCGGGCAGAGACACAACCAAAAAAGAGAATTTCAGACCAATATCCTTGATGAACATTGATGCAAAAATCCTCAATAAAATACTGGCAAACTGAATCCAGCAGCACATCAAAAAGCTTATCCACCATGATCAAGTGGGCTTCATCCCTGGGATACAAGGCTGGTTCAATATACACAAATCAATAAATGTAATCCAGCATATAAACAGAACCAAAGACAAAAACCACATGATTATCTCAATAGATGCAGAAAAGGCCTTTGACAAAATTCAACAACGCTTCATGCTAAAAACTCTCAATAAATTAGGTATTGATGGGACGTATCTCAAAATCATAAGAGCTATCTATGACAAACCCACAGCCAATATCACATTGAATGGGCAAAAACTGGAAGCATTCCCTTTGAAAACTGGCACAAGACAGGGATGCCCTCTCTCACCACTCCTATTCAACATAGTGTTGGAAGTTCTGGCCAGGGCAATTAGGCAGGAGAAGGAAATAAAGGGTATTCAATTAGGAAAAGAGGAAGTCAAATTGTCCCTGTTTGCAGATGACATGACTGTATATCTAGAAAACCCCATTGTCTCAGCCCAAAATCTCCTTAAGCTGATAAGCAACTTCAGCAAAGTCTCAGGATACAAAATCAATGTACAAAAATCACAAGCATTCTTAGACACCAATAACAGACAAACAGAGAGCCAAATCATGAGTGAATTCCCATTCACAATTGCTTCAAAGAGAATAAAATACCTAGGAATCCAACTTACAAGGGACCTGAAGGACCTCTTCAAGGAGAACTACAAACCACTGCTCAATGAAATAAAAGAGGATACAAACAAATGGAAGAACATTCCATGCTCATGGGTAGGAAGAATCAATATGGTGAAAATGGCCATACTGCCCAAGGTAATTTATAGATTCAATGCCATCCCCATCAAGCTACCAATGCCTTTCTTCACAGAATTGGAAAAAACTACTTTAAAGTTCATATGGAACCAAAAAAGAGCCCACATCGCCAAGTCAATCCTAAGCCAAAAGAACAAAGCTGGAGGCATCACACTACCTGACTTCAAACTATACTACGAGGCTACAGTAACCAAAACAGCATGGTACTGGTACCAAAACAGAGATATAGATCAATGGAACAGAACAGAGCCCTCAGAAATAAGGCCACATATCTACAACTATCTGATCTTTGATAAACCTGAGAAAAACAAGTAATGGGGAAAGGATTCCCTATTTAATAAATGGTGCTGGGAAAACTGGCTAGCCATATGTTGAAAGCTGAAACTGGATCCCTTCCTTACGCCTTATACAAAAATCAATTCAAGATGGATTAAAGACTTACATGTTAGACCTAAAACCATAAAAACCCTAGAAGAAAACCTAGGCAATACCATTCAGGACACAGGCATGGGCAAGGACTTCATGTCTAAAACACCAAAAGCAATGGCAACAAAAGCCAAAATTGACAAATGGGATCTAATTAAACTAAAGAGCTTCTGCACAGCAAAAGAAACTACCATCAGAGTGAACAGGCAACCTACAGAATGGGAGAAAATTTTTGCAACCTACTCATCTGACAAAGGGCTAATATCCAGAATCTACAATGAACTCAAACAAATTTACAAGAAAAAAACAAACAACCCCATCAAAAAGTGGGCGAAGGATATGAACAGACACTTCTCAAAAGAAGACATTTATGCAGCCAAAAAACACATGAAAAAATGCTCATCACCACTGGCCATCAGAGAAATGCAAATCAAAACCACAATGAGATACCATCTCACACCAGTTAGAATGGCAATCATTCAAAAGTCATGAAACAACAGGTGTTGGAGAGGATGTGGAGAAATAGGAACACTTTTACACTGTTGGTGGGACTGTCAACTAGTTCAACCATTGTGGAAGTCAGTGTGGCGATTCCTCAGGGATCTAGAACTAGAAATACCGTTTGACCCAGCCATCCCATTACTGGGTATATACCCAAAGGACTATAAATCATGCTGCTATAAAGACACATGCACACGTATGTTTATTGTGGCACTATTCACAATAGCAAAGACTTGGCACCAACCCAAATGTCCAACAATGATAGACTGGATTAAGAAAATGTGGCACATATACACCATGGAATACTATGCAGCCATAAAAAATGATGAGTTCATGTCCTTTGTTGGGACATGGATGAAACTGGAAATCATCATTCTCAGTAAACTATTGCAAGGACAATAAACCAAACACTGCATGTTCTCACTCATAGGTGGGAATTGAACAATGAGATCACATGGACACAGGAAGGGGAACATCACACTCTGGGAGATATACCTAATGCTATATGACTAATTATTGAAATCCTTAACAGCCTTCTTCTGTAAATAAACTTTGTAACATTTTAGAATAGTTTTAGATTTCTAGCAAATTTGCAAAGTTAGTACAGAGAATTGACATATACTCCTCATCCCCTTTCCTCTACTGATAACATCTTACATTATTATGGTACGTTATTATAACTCAGAATCCAACCTTGGTACATTGCCACTAACGAGACTCCACATTTTACTTGAATTTCAGCAGTTCTTCCCCAGTGTCATTCTTTGGTTCCAGGGTCCCATTCAGGATACCACATTCCATGTGTTGTAGTTTCCCTGTCTCCTTCATCCCCTCCGGTCAGTAACAGGTTGTAAGGCTTTCCTTGCTTCTCCTGACCTTAACAATGTTGCATAGTACTAGTCAGTTGTTTCGTAGAGTGTCCCTCACTTTGGATTCATCTACATTTTTCACAGTTAGAACGGGGTTGGGGTTTGGGTTTGGGGGAGGAGTCCCACCGAGGTACTGTGGCATCTCCATGGCCTCCTATCAAGGGTACATGCTATTAAAATGACTTACCGCCAATCATGTTGACCTTGGTCACCTGGCCAAGGTGGTGTCTGGTTTCTCCACTAAAAAGTGCCCAGGTTTCTCCACTATAAAGTTACCTTTTCCCCCTTTCCATTCTTTACTCTTTGAAAACAAGTTCTCCAAAGTAAATCCCACTCTCAAGTAGAAAAGAAGAGATTCAATGTCTCCTCCTTTTTAGAATTCTTCTGGAAAGAGGGTTTGTCTTTGATCCTCTTTATTTATTTATTCAATTATATGTTTGTCTCAGTATGAACCTTCATGTGTTATACTTTGAGTTTTAATCCAACGTTACTTTATTTATTTTGTTGCTCAAATTGTTTCTGCTTTGGCCATTGCGAGCTTTTGAGTGTTGGCTCTCATGTCCCTTTGAAACGCCCTAATCATTTTGTTCTTGAGCACTTTTAACTTTCAGGCCCTACAAGATTTTTTTTAAGTCATTTGCCCACAATTACTTAGTGAGCCTATAAATGTTGCTGTTTTATAGGATGCGCCCAAAATAATGACCATTTTCGTGCCTGCTCCTAGTCTCATCTAGATCCCACTGGAATATAAACAATTTGAAGAAGAGATTTCTTTTTTCATCTTTAGGTCCTTATGCAAATGTGAACATATTATACATCAAAGACCATTTAGTCCCAGTGATGCAGGTGGGCAGGTGAGCCCCACAACAGAGGCTTCGCCCAGGAAATAATTTAACGGTGAGCCAGTGGCATTAGACAGCCATCTTTTACAGAACAGGAGCTGCATCCAGAGCTGCACTTGTGGGCTGTTGGCAACTGTATTTTATATCCACTTGTATCCACTATTACATACATGCAAATTAAGGGGTTAGTTAATGCAAATTGAGAGGTGGGTTAATCAGAACTTTCTAGGAAAAGGGTAGTAATTTCTGGGTCATTGTCATGGAAAGGGTGGTAAATTCTAGGGGGTTGCCATAGCATTTGGAAACTGTCATGGCACTGGTGGGAGTGTCTTTATGCTAATGAACAATGAGGACAGCTAGGAACCACTTTCAGTGCCATCTGCTGTGTTTGACCTGTTTGTTCACTTCTTTCTGTCTGGATCAGATCTGGTTTTGGTCAGCAGGGTTGTGATCAGGAACAAATCCTGCTGGTCTCCTACCTCATTGGCGATTGAGAGAGAGAGGTTGCTGAGACCCTGCCCTAGGGTTTTTTGCCTTTTTAATAGGCCAGCCTGGAGCTGTTCTGCTTCACCCTAGACTTTCTCCCTGTGTTTGTTCAGTAGAACTGCAGTGTGCTATTGGTCACAGATTTCAATGAGATAGAAACCAAAAATAGTTCAATCCAATGAAGATTGCCCAGTCAACGCCTTGGTAGGGAGGTGAAGGGGAAGGAAGGAGGATAGTTGAGATGTAAGCCACACTGGAAATTGAATGGGAGGAGCAGTAGGGTCAAATGTATATATTACAAGTACTGTATGATAAACTACCCCCATAAACTCATAAACATACCTGAGTTGGTTCCTAGGATGAGTAGATTGGGAACAGCAGGAGATGCACCTGAATGGATGAAACGATGTAAAGAGATGACCGCTGGCATGCTTTTCAAACTCTCGCGCTCTGTCTTATAGTTTGTTATACATTTCTAATTAAGTAGTTCTGGAGTAAGACCTCACAATATTTATTTCTAACATGTCCCCAGGCAATGCTGATGCTCTGGGTCTGGGGACCACACTTTGAGAAGCACCGCTGTCAATCGTTGAATGAGTCAGAGGCACCATAAAGGTGCTAACCCTACTGTCCCAATGTGGGTCACCAGAACAACCCTTATGTGAAAACTCAGCCCCAGAGCTCCATCATCAACTTGCTTTCTGACAATCAAACTAAAAGTTTGTGAGTATTAGCTAGCACCAAATTGAGGTGGATGTGATTTGGAATCAATTCTACTTGGTGGGGAAGGGGTGAGGGGGACACTGAAGGGAGTTTTCCAACCTCCCATTTCTACAAGTGGGTCATTTTCACTTACAGTTATTGGACAGAGACATATAATTGAGAAAATGAAGATATTGTGGACAAAAATGTCAGTGAACCTTGACAAGACCTGGTTGAATAGATATATGCCTGTGTCCTACCAGCAAGTCACCTCTCTAGACCACAGTACTCTCCGGGTGACATCAGAAGGTCAGCCTCGGTGGCTGGAGAGGTATTTCTAGCCAGTATATAGTGATTCAATTTGTTCATTTATTCAGTAGACGTTTCTGGAGGACCTGTTTTGGGCCAGTGTCTATACTGGGCACTGGAAATAAAGCCAAGAATAAGATCCACATCAAGCTTTTCAGTCTAGTGACAAAAAAGAATAAAACAAATAATTACAATACATCTGGCTGAGTGTTTTAATGAGGGAAGCACAGAGAAGTGTGACTCTCGTCAGGAAAATGAGATTACAGCCCTAGCCTCACCTTCCAATAACTGGTCTCCAATATTCCTCCTGCCTCTCTTTCACCTGAAACAAAATGTACGTTACGACAACTTTCTTTTTCTTTTTCTTTTTTTTTTTTTTGAGACAGAGTCTTGCTCTTGTCGCCCAGGCTGGAGTGCAGTGGTGCGATCTTGGCTCACTGCAACCTCCGCCTCCCAGGTTCAAGTGACTCTCCTGCCTTAGCCTCCCAAGTAGCTGGGATTACAGGCGCCTGCCACCATGCCCAGCTAATTTTTGTATTTTTAGTGGAGACAGGTATCACCATGTTGACCAGGCTGGTCTCGAACTCCTGACCTCAGATGATCTGCTTGCCTTGGTCTCCCAAATTGCTAGGATTGCAGGCATGAGCCAACACGCCCAGCCACATGACAACAATTTTCTAATGGCCCCATCTACCCATTTCAGTCATTGCAAGGATGCGACAAGATCACCAAAAACACGTTAGATATGTAGAAAGAATTATAATACACTTTTCTCTTTCCCCAAAACATAAGAAGCAGAATGAATTATTTCCTATTCTAACAGAACCAGCTCTTCCACTGCCATTTTTCTACCTAAAATGTTCTTGTTTCTTCTGAAAGAATCCACCCTAATTAGAAAAGCAAGCAACAACAACCTAAAACAATCTATTAACACTGTAGCCCAGAACCCAGAAATGTCATTTGTATTAAACCGTATTAAGAATAGTGAATAGTTTCATATACCTAATCAACTGACAATGTTTGAGTCCATGACTTTAATTACCATCCTTTATAAAGACAACAGCTCCAATAAAAAAAATTATTTTAGTAAGTTACTTAAACCAAGTATGAACTGTTTGCTACAATTTCTCTTTTCATTTAGAGACTATATCATTTATTTTGGTTTTGTCTGTTTCATGAATGCATTCTTGACACAGTATCTCTACAAGAAGCCTATGTTCTCCTTAGTAAAAGCAGTAGTATTGTTGTAAACCTTAGTTTAACTTTTGTGGTGAAAGTGGATGGAGTAGGATTGTAGGCACTTATTCCTTTGAAGTAAAATAATCCTGAATTTTTTGTTCTGAAGATTAAATTTAACTGTGCTCATGAAGGTGCTTTGTAAATAGCAAAGAAAGATATCAATATTAAGCATTATAAATACCCACGTTAAAGTTAGGTGTTCAATGAATAGACATAAATTGCCTATAAAGGAAATGTTTTTCTTTTCTAATAGTCCAAATCAATGGCCTATTTGTTTTTTTTTAAAGTGTATCTGTTAATGATATACATAAAAATAAAATAATGACATTGTAATTCTTTTTCAACTTTGGGAAATGAAACTCTTGAGTCAAGGAATCTCAGATAAAAGTTGTTATTACTTATGTTTTTAGGTTTTTGTACTTCTTTGGAATTTTGAAATATCATAGAAATAATAAAAACTTGCACCACGAGTAAAACAAACAGGGGTTTAGAAATAAATCATTAACTCTTCTCCCTCTTCATATTCTATATCCAGAAGAATGTTAACCTTTCACTCAACGTACTTCCGTGTATTTTTCTATGCTCGTGTAGACATATAGATCACCCTTCCATCTCTTCCTTCCTCCTTCTCTTCCTTTCTTCTCCCTTCCTTTCCCCTCTCTGCTCTTTTTAAAATTTTTTATACATTTTCAACAAAAATGGGATATACCATATACTACTTGCTATGTAATATTTTTAACTTAATATAATATGCATCTTTTTCTATAGAAACATACAGCTCTAACTTATTCTCTTTAAATCATTCTTTTTGCTAGGTATGCTCCAGCCTAGAGTACAAACATGTTACCATTTATTCAACCTATACTGTATTGGTAAACATTTGGGTTTTTTTCCTTCCTTCCTTCCCTCCTTCCTTCCTCCTTTCCTCACTTCCTTCCTTCCTCCCTCCCTTCCTCCCCTCCTTCCTTCCTTCTTTCGTTCCTTCCTTTCCTTCCTCCCTTCCTTCCTCACTTCCTCCCTCCCTCCCTCCCTTCCTCCGTTCCTTCCTTCCTTTCCTTCCTTCCTTCCTCCCTCCCTCCTTCTCTTTCTCTTTCTTTTTTTCTTTCCTTCCTTCTTTCTTTCTTCTTTTTTTTGGAGGGGAGGACTATCACAACAATTTGTTGCAGTAAATTCCCTTGTATACATAACTATATGTGCTAGGCTCTCAAAATAGTGATTTTAATTACTATTTTGAAAACAGGAGAATGCCTTCACAATTTCGGTAGCAGAGGACAGGGCTTGCACCTTCATATTAGATTATCTCTAGATTAGTGAAAACGGTGTACTATAAGTTAAGGTACTATAAGTTAGTATGCATATTGCTGGCTATTATTTGAACAGCAGGATATCTACTTTACGGTATAATGAGATCCTTCAAGACAAGCTTTTACTATGTTATTATCATTATTACTTGCCTCTTGAAATCAAACCTTATCATATTTTACATTAGATATAAATGTGAAGCGGGCAGTGATAAAACCAACTTAGCAATAACTATAATTATTAATGGCAACGATTATTCACTATTAGTCATAATCACTCACGCTTTTATCATTCAGATAAATCTACTATCAAGCAGATTTTAGTGTTGTTCATAATATGTTGAGATTAAAAATGGGCTCTTTTAACTTCCAGGTAACTAAGTGCCCTGCTTTGCGAATCATCACTGGACTCTGACAGATGGTCAAGTTCATTCTGGGGGACTACATGCATTTTGTGGATTTTTAAAATTTAGATTGTGAATTAGGGTTTGTAAATCAAATCCTACACTGAAAGCACCAGCTATGGAAAAGCAGTTGAACCCTGAGTATTTTTGTAAAGAAAGCTTTTAAAGCATGGATGTCCATTTGGAAAATGATGTTCCTTAAGAACTTGGAGTGTTTTAAAATCACATTTTCTTAAAGGACTCCACACACAGTTGGAAACTTTAAACCTACTTAAACTGGAAGCTACAAATCTGGTTAGAAGAGAGCATGGCAGCTCCCTGCAAGCAGATACTTGTCTCTTTCCATTTGCCACACAAGTAGATGCATAACCTTATCACTGGCCTTCCTCTTATTTTCTGGACAAGGGCTTTCTGCTCTATTGATTTCCTTTTAGATGTATGCTCAGGTCAGGCAAACTATGAACTAGTATGAACTGGATTGTTCTAACTCAGCTCCTGGCAAGATAAAAGAACAGAGGTCACTCCCAGGCAAACACACTCAGAGTTGAAGGAGGCTGGGATTCCACTTTGGTCCAGACAGCTGCTCTGCACTGAGTCCTATCAGAATTGCAAATGGCTCTGTTGGCTCGGCTAAGTGTGTTTAATGATGGGGTGAGATCCTGGAGTTCAAACAGTGCACGGATAAAATTTGTATTTTCGTGTGATTATATTATTTGCAACAGGCCCCGCATGATGGGATTCAGTAATTGTCAGTGCTGTCAAAAAGGCATTTCTTTTTCCTTTGACCATGACTACTGCATCTATGTAATTTGTCGTACTAGCTATCAAGCACAGTATCAGAGAAGCAGAAAAACCAACCAAAGCATATTCACACTCTTCATACCCACATCTCTATCACCCGTTATTAAATCAATTACTAAGGTTCAGTGCAGAGTAGGTGTCTCTGGGTGGAACAGCTCTTTTATCATTGGAAACTGTTGTCTGGGGTTTCTTTAACTCTTTCCTGGTTAAACCCTTTAGCTCCTGTAAGCGTGAATAAGAGTATTCATCAACGAGATAAAGACAAATAGAACAAAATAGGCAAAAGACTGATGTCTGGCATAGAGGAAATGTTTTGTGATTTGTTTTAAAGTAAATAGAATAAATATGCGAACCTTGGGTAACTGACTCACTGGGAAGATCCACACATAGTGTCAGAAAAAAGGTTCAGAAAATGTTAACCAATATTATTACAAGCCAGAAACAGGGGTGAAGGCAGAATAAAGGTCCCATAGGATTGTAACTTCTCAATGTTTAAGAAACCCAGAATAGTAGCAAAATACGATACACATAAATAATAGAAGATAGAGTAGACTCAATCAGAAAAGAGGAACAAAATTCTGTGACGATGGACACCGTCTAAAGAATCTTGTCGTGATTTTCTTGCCTTGACATAATGAGGATTGCTGGGGACCATCTTGGGGACTTTCTACCACATCATGTTAACAAATGGTCAATTTGCTTTCTTATCACCTTCTTTCAGTGGCTGGGTCCTAAGACTTGTTATACAATGACATGTTAATTCTGTCCTCTTAAATATGTCCATGTTTTCCACCATGGCCTGTTGTTTAAATTCCAAAGCTCTGTTTATGATCCAGCACCTGCCTATCTCTCTGACTTCATCTCTTATCATTTCCCCACTGGATCAAAATGCTCCCAGCAGAGTGGACCACCTGAAGTTCCTGAAAAGTGGTACAACTGATCACACTTTCCTGGAATGCCCTTCTTCACCTTATAATACTTGTGGAAATCTCCTTATCCTTTAAGGATCAATTCAAAAATCAGCCCCATGTGAACAGAATCTATCTCTTTAGATTATGAGCTTCTTAAGGGAGCAAGTGTATGTTTTGCTTTGAGTCCCAGGTGTCTGGCACAATGCCTGTCACTATTTATTGACTCACTATGTGTACCCTCATGTCTCATAGCGGATAAATGGATCAACAAAATGTGGTGTATCCATATAATAGAATATTATTCAGCTTACAAAGGAAGTTCTGACACAGGCTGCAACATGGCTGAACGCTGAAGACTTTATGCTAAGTGAAATAGGCCAGTCACAAAATGACACATACTATATGATTCCACTTTATGAGGTACCTATAGTAGTCAGAAAGTAGAACGGTGTTTACCAGGGGGTGGAGAATGGTGGGATGGGGACTCATCATTTATGGGGTATAGCGTATCAGATGAGGAAAATGAAAAGAGTTATGGAGATGGGTGGTGGTGATGGTTGCACAACAGTGTGGATGTACTTAATGCTGCTGAAGCATATACTTAAAAATGGTTGGGCCAGGCGCGGTGGCTCATCCCTGTAATCCCAGCACTTTGGGAGGCCGAGGCAGGTGGATCACCTGAGGTCAGGAGTTTGAGACCAGGCTGGCCAACATGGTGAAACCCCATCTCTACTAAAAATACAAAAATTATCCGGGTGTGGTGGCACACGCCTGTAATCCCAGCTACTCAGGAGGCTGAGGCAGGAGAATTGCTTGAACCCAGGATGCAGAGGTTGCAGTGAGCCAAGTTCGTGCCATTGCACTCCAGCCTGGGTGACAAGGGTGAAACTCCAAAACTCCATCTCAAAAAAAAAAATGGTTAAGATGGTAAATCTTATGCATATTTAACACAAAAGGTCAGCTCCTACCCTTGTTAAACCTCTCCTGGTCACCCTTACCCTCACTGGGTAAGGTGACTTCTGCAGCCTCTTCTCGATTGGGGGGCATGCCTGTGGAACAGAAGTTCTCACACACCTCACTTGTAATGGTGGACTTGTCTTTTTTTCTGTAGACTGTGAGCTTCTTGAGGGAGTATTTCTATGTTTTGCTTTGAGTCCCAGGTGTTTAACACGATAACTGTCTCTATTTGTTGACTAATTGACTGAAAAAAGTGAAACTTGATTTTGTGACTTTTTTATGTTCTATATACTACACAAGGACTTACTGTTTTATGTTTTAAGCGCATCTGATTATTTTGGATTGTAAGGTTCTCAAAGTACATCGGCCACAACTGTGAGTATTTTCATAACTCAGAAATTATTACAGTATTCTAGTGAGTCCACTGAGTGTGCTCAATACTGATGAGATAGCTGTCTTTTGTAGGTAGGGAGATATGGGAAAGTTACAGTTAGTTTCAGCTGGTAGCAGGAGAAAAACAGCTTGTTTGGACATAGCCAGCATTTAACAAGGATCTTTAGTTTTCACTGCAACTATTTGGGAAACTTAGTCAATGGATACTTAAAATAGGAAGTAATTGATTCTCCACTAATTTATTCCAACAGTCAATTATTAATCAACAAATATTTACTGAACGCCTACAGTGCACCACCGTTGGGCATGAAATGGTGAATCCAGTCCGATGGAGTCTTTTCCCCCATGGTTAAACATTAAGAACGACGCCGTGTCTCTCTCCAAGATGCCAAGGATACATTTATTTTTATTCTAATTACTTTTAACAAAGTTAAAAAATGAGATTTAGAATTTCTCTAACACTGAGGCTCAGAAAGATCATCTTGTTTAAGATCACGTCATCCATGATCTTGATGTCTGTTTACGATCACATGATCCGTGAACTTGACGTCATCAGGGCAGCCGTGAGCGCCGCTCTTCTGGGTGACACTGGCCCATCTTCAGCAGCTCATTAACAAGAAGCAGCCCCACGGAGTGCCTGCCAAACAATCTTAAGATGACTTTATAGTTTAAAAATGCATTTCAATCATTTTTATTGGCCATTTTGTATAACACCCTGACTGGTCTTTGGCAATATTATCATGGATTTTTTTGTTTGTTTGTTTTTCCTTTTGGTTTTTGAGATGGATTCTTGCTCTGTCACCCAGGCTGGAGTGCAGGGACGTGATCTCAGCTCACTGCAACCTCCACCTTTCGCGTTCCGGTGATTCTCCTGCCTCAGCCTCCCGAGTAGGTGGGACTATAGGCACTCACCACAACGCCCGGCTAATTTTTTTGTATTTTTAGTAGAGGCGGGGTTTCGCCATGTTGGCCAGGCTGGTCTCAAACTCCTGACCTCAGGTGATCCACCCGCCTTGGCCTCCCAAATTATCATCATTTTAAGGCGATGCAGAAACAAGTGTTTGTGCAAAACTGGGACGAGGTGGGAGAGAAACAAGAGAATGTTTTTCAGTGATCCTAGGCCCTCTAGAGCACCCCTGATAGAGCTGAGGTCAGAAATCATAGTGAGCAGGCAGCTTCTTCAGCGCTTCTGTTTCCCAGGCTTGGCCTCATGATGGACAGGATCTCCCTCTCCAGGATGCGCTTGATTGCAGCTCAATAACACCAGAGACTCTAGCTTGGAGTCCTTGCTGTTTTAAAGGTATCCTAGTTTTCATCATCAGTAGAAAGGAGTACTATATTTTGGCACGGTGAGGATTTTGTACACAAACAGTTAAATCACTTATCTAGTCACTATTTCGTTAATATTAGATGTTTTGGTCTATTCTTGCATTGCTATAAAGAAATGCCTGAGACTGAGTAATTTACAAAGAAAAGAGGTTTAATTGGCTCATGGTTCTGCTGGCAAGTGGCTGCATAGTGTCTTCTATTTCTGGGGTGGCCTCAGGGAGCTTTTACTCATGGCACAAGGCAAAGTGGGAAGAGGCATGTCACATGGCGGGAGCAGGATGGAGCGAGAGAGAGAGGAAGCAGGTGCCACACACTTTTAAACAACCAGATCTAGTGAGAACACACTCACTGGACAGAACCAAGGGGGGATGGTTCTAAACCATTCACGAGAACTTCACCCCCACAATCCAGTCACCTCCCACCAGGCCCTACTTCCAACACTGGGGATTACAATTTGACATGAGATTTGTTGAGGACACAAAGCCAAATGATATCCTTAGAATACACAACATGGTGTTTTCACATGGGAACTGGTGGCATTTGGGCAACTTTCTGTAAGTGTTGCTACTTACTGCTCCTCTCAGTCTGCACTCCTGACTCCATCTTGCTGTAGGTACCTAACCTTAACAATACGGAAAGGAGCCTCCTACCTGGAACTGCATAAAGGAAACAAAAAATAGATGTGTCCAAGCTATGACATGAATTACTGGCACACAACAAATAACCAAATTAAATGACACCCTGTTACAGCTCTTATGGCTGGAATCACAAGAAAAGGTCATCAATTCGCTCAAGTCAAAAAAGGGAATGTATTGGTGTTGATAACTACAAAGTCCAGTAGCAGTCTTAGCATTAAGCAAGGCTGGATTCCAGAGCTTAAATTATCCTCTGGTTCTTGCAAAGATTGACATCAACTACTTTGGGTTACTTGGTCCTTGCCTTTAGCCAAAGGAGAGAAATAGCTTCCTGAGTAGCTCTGGTTGGTCCAGCTCGGACCTTGCCTTTCCTTCCCTGAGCCAGTCTCTGGAACCAAAGGAATAATGCACTCTGACTGGACAGTCTGCATCTGATAGAGACAAAACAAGGCCACCTAGGGAAGAGGCAGTTCCAGACTGGGGAAGATTCTGGGAAAAAAAAAAGATATCTACAATACTATGTGTATAAACTCACCCACAAAAATCCTAGTAGCACTAACACTGTCTTAATTTCTCCATTAGGAATCAGAAAAACCTTTAATGAAGAGTGACGGAGAGAATGGCCTGTGATTGGATTGTGAGCCTGTTTCTGCCACCAGGCAGCCCCTCTGCAGGCATCTCCCTCCCACCTGACCCGTGGTCTGTGCGAGTGCAAGTTAAAAGGGTCATTTCCTTGCCTCAGAGCTGATCTCAGCCTTAGATACTTTCCAGTTTCTCTGCTACCTGTCATTCAGTCTTTTGAAGTACAGCATTAATTTTAACTGTGATTTCATTGCAAAAACAAATTTGCCAATGGAATGCTATTCGTGTCATTTATTTCCCCAGATCTTCCTATGAGCTCATCTCTCTCATTCAATTGTCTCTACTCCAATGTCACTTCCTTGGCTGAAGGAAAAATCAGTCCTCATTCCACACACTGCAACCTTGCCTTAGTTGATTTACAGCACATATCGTATCATAACCTGACCACAACTACCTCTTGCTTAACTGTTTATTTTTTCGCTCTCCTCCCAGAATATATCCTAAGACAAAGAATTGCATATTGGCATCGTAGTTTCCAATCTAAGCACATGCGCAAGGGAACTCAGGTTAGTTGAGCTAACATTTTCTTCCGCTATAAACTAGTGTTCCTTAAAGAGCAATTTTTTAGAATACTGGTTTCCTTGATCAAAATATGTTTGGGAAATGGAATATATGCTTCATGAGGACAGGCTATCTTTTCATGGTGATATATCTAGTATATAAAAGTGTATCTTAGTACACAGTAGGTACTCTCTAAATGTTTGTTGAATGAATGAATCTAGGCAACTTAACCTTAGTTGTTTTTTTTTTTTTTTTTGACACAGTCTTGCTCTGTCCCCTAGGCTGGACTGAGTAGCATGATCTCGGCTCACTGCACTCTGCTTCCTCAGGTTCTAGCGATTCTCCTGCCTTGGCCTCCTGAGTAGCTGGGATTACAGGTGCATGCCACCATGCCTGGCTAATTTTTTAGTATGTTTAGCAGAGACGGGGTTTCACCATGTTGGCCAGGCTGGTCTAGAACTCCTGACCTCAAGTGATCCACCCGCCTCGGCCTCCCAAAGTGCTGGGATTACAGGCGTGAGCCACTATGTCTGGCTCCTTCACTTTTTTGAAATGTAAAGTCTTGAGATATCAACGAAGAGACTTGCTTAACTTTGTTTAACTCAATCTTCACTCTGCAGTTTTCATGGGAGACACTTAGGCGGCTTTTCTGTAAGATACCGTCTTGTCTTACTCCATGAAAAGAGGCTAACTTTTATCATGTAAAACGTTACAGTGGAGAAGGTGATTGCAGTAGTACGGTAGTGATAGAGGGTTTTGCTGGGCAGAGCACAGAGTCCTGTTTTAAAGATATTAGACAGCATAGAACGGTGTGGGGAGGGGCACTGGGGAATTCTTCCTGGACAGCAAACGGCTCTTATAAAACAACAATTTGATGAGCTCAGTGCAAATGAATCAGAAACATATGGATTCAATTTCCCTTGAAACACATATGGCTTTAACAATTAAACACTACAGCGATTAGCAGGGAAAAGAATACACAACAGGGATTTGATGGTGGCCATTGGAAAACATGTCTGAGGTCTTTCCTGAGCCCAACCTGGGTCATTCCCATAGGACACATGGAATTCTAGCTGCAGGACACGAAACATCCTTTTCCAAATGCAATCTGTTGGGAGCATTAGTAGTAACTTAGCAGTAATTTTCACAGCCGCTCTGTGGAGGAGAAATGGCTTTTATGTTAAGGAGAATGGGTGGAGTAGAATTACATTTTTGGGGGGTTACAGTTTCTGCCTTTGTTATACTGATATCATGCATAGACACACACACACACACACACACACACACACACACACGCAGAGTGTTTGTGTATGTTATGGTAATTATCTTCAAGGAACTCAAATCCCTCCAAAGACATTATCTCATTTGTTTTTATTATGTGTGCCCAAGAGATATATGTGATTATTTCAGCTCCACATTTAGGGAAGGAACCTAAAGAACAGAGAGGTTAAGGGAGTGACCCCAATCACACAGCTGGCCCGTGGACTGGCCAGGCAAGAGCAACGTCTCCAGCCTGCAGTCGGCCAGTTCCCACTTCCTCATCTGCCCTGGCTCTAGATTAATAAAGTCATGCACAGCATTGCTGTATATTAACTTGAAATTGTGTTTCCTAAGGGGAATTCTGGTTTTTCCAATGATACTGTAGCACTCAGCAACTGGTGAGGAAGATGCAATTAATTTTTCCCTCATGAATATGATCATTATATAAACTAGCTCAGCAGCCTCCGGGGCCAGATACAAGACACTGAATTATATATCACAAAGCTGTTCCTTCTATCAAACAGCTCAGGGCCAAAAGGAAAACCCAGAAGGCCACATGATCACGTGTCATCATCCTTACTTAATGGACACAACAGTTTTCTAATCCGCTCAAATGTGGGGGAAAACCTTGCCCCCTCCTTCTACTTCATTTTAAAAGATGGTAAATGTATTTTTTTTTTAGATCAAAGGGAGTAGCCTATGCGATCTAATATTTTGGATCTTTCTATATCTAATTCAACTACCTCAAATATCTTTGGCCCACAAAATGGTCCCCCAGGGTTTATTTAGTATAATAATATTTTAAAGCTGGAGCAAACTTTATAGGTGATTCATACCAATAGTTTTCAGTCTGGCCAAGCATTAAACCTTTGTGGCACAGCAGGAGCGGGTGGTGGCGATTAAAGAAATCCCACACCAACAAGAGCTGCCCTGCCTGCCCTGAGGAGGAGCTCAGGCACCTGGCACCTGCTCGCAATTCCAAGGGGCAGCTTATCCAGTAAGCCCCAGCTGCACCCACTCCAACCCTGCCACCCAGAGATGAAGCAGCCTCACCAAACACACAGGTCATTGCCTTTTCTGTTCCATGGATTTGTTCATTCCAGAAATGCTGTATTCGTATGGGTACCCATCTTAAAATTTTACCTGGGGCAAGGCATGGTTGCTCATGCCTGTAATCCCAGCATTTTGGGAGGCTGAGGTGGGAGGATCGCTTGAGTCCAGGAGTCCAAGACCAGCCTGGGCAACATAGGGAGACTCCGTCTCTACAAGAAATAAAAAATTAGCCACGTGTGGGCATGAGTGCCTATGGTCCCAGCTACTTGGGAGGCTGAGGCGGGAGGATTACTTGAGCCCAGGAGATGGAGGCTGCAATTTGCCATGATGACATCACTGCACTCCAGCAACAGAGCAAGATTCTGTCTCTAAAATATCTCTCTGTCTGTCTCTCTCTCTCTCTCTCTCTCTCTCACACACACACACCCCTGGGATTTGTTTTAATCAGGTATGATAAGACCTGCACAGACACAGAAATGACTGTTAAGACAGGAAGCATTTAAACTCTCACATCACCCCTGGAAACAGGGGGAGGGCACACCACGCAGGGCCATGTGGGGAAGCAGCAGGGCCAGCCAGCAGCCGGGGGGAAGGAGGGAAGAGCCGGGTGGAAGCCTTTACTGGGTGTCACAGGAGGCAAGGTGAGGGAGCTGCGCACACACCTGGGGCTGGGTAGTTCAAGCCATTTCTGCAGGCTCCGGGGTGCTGGGGTGGTCCCCCCTTGTCAGATACCTGGTCCTAGGGTGATGGAGGGCAGGAGAATAGTATCACAGACTGCAGGAACCGGATAAAAGGATGAGGGTGGGGCATGGACAGGATTGGTTGGTTTGCATGTCATGGGCGCACTCATCTGCAAGCCTAGTATCCCTAGAAATTAGCTAACCTCAGGGGGCCATTCCTTCCCAGATTCACAAGGCCCCGAGATGTCAAAGCATCATAAAATACAAAAGATGTTAATAAATAACATGATTAGTACAGTACCTCATTAACCATCAGAGTGCTAAATGAGGATCACAGAAATAAAATAATTAAAAAAGCTTTTAACTGCATGTTTTCAGTTTATACATGGTTTTCAGATATAATTTCTCTTTTAGTCTTCCTAGAAAATCTCCATAATAATATCATCATCCCTGGATACGGAAACGAAGGCTGAAAGAGAGAAGAGGACGTGGTTTCCTGATAGCAGAGTTCAGGGTGGAAACTCCAGATCCAGCTTTCTGCCTGTGACGATTCTGGTGGATGTGAGCCTTGGGTGCTGCCTCTGACACCTGCTGTGCACGGCAGCCAGAGACCGCGTCCAGAATGCAGGCAGTTTGTCTCCCACAACGTGACAGGTGGTGCCGGCCTAAGCTATGATCCGCTAACAAAATAGGGCTATGAGCCCTCTGCCTTTCAGAGCAGGCGGGGAACATTCCTGCAATGCTATGGGTTGGGTGTGTGAGTTTTTTCTTGAAGAACGTAATTAGAAAGGGGGGTTCTATGTGTCATGTATAAAATACCGATGGGCCAGCCACAGAGAACGCTGTAGGCTTTGACAGACAAGACAGGGTGTCTTTACCAGCAAATGGACACCATGCCACATCATCCTTAATGAAATACGTGCACTTTAGTGAGACAAAAATGCATCCGTAGCTCTGCCTGCCTCCTCACGATCCTTCTCCAGCTATAAGGACATCAAATAAACCATTTAGACAGAGGGCCCTTTAATGAGTTTCTCAGCGGCAGTGAATCAAGTCAGAAAGGTAATTCAACCCTCACTCCCAAGGTACAAGGGAAGGCAAGAAAAACTGTTTCTTTAGATTCCATTCTGTCCACAGAACCATTCATCAATTTCCTTCGAGAGTCTGAATCAATCCCAGCAGGACCGCTTGCCAAAAAGAACGCTCTGTGGAGACACAAGCCCCAGCTTGTGTTTGCTCTCTGGGTCTCTTCCCTCCTCTTTCTTCCTCCGGGTGGCAGGAGGGCACCGTGGCAACACAGGAGGCATGACCTACAACAGGCCCCCGAGCTCCTGGGGCCCCTGCATGCCCTGTCGTAGGTTTCTGAGTACTCATTCTCATGGGCTGCTTGCCCATTAGCTGATGTCACTTAAATAACTGCTTTGCCAGAGCTGGCTTGTGTAGGACTCATCTGAGGTCCTTACCAACAGAAGGAATAAGGAATTCACATGGAAAGTTGGCCTCACCCTGCTCTTCCCTCATCAATGGAATAATCTGAAATGTGCAGATTACCAATGCTTCCAGAGGCACCGAACTCAATGGTTTGGCTTGGCTTTGTGCTTCAGTCCACACAGATGGCAGGAGCAACTTAGAGGTGGGAGAGATACTTAGAGAGCAGCGACTCAAATATTTTCATTTGATTGCTTTAAAAAAATGAGGCTTTGAGAGGTGAAGTATTAACCTCTTGCCCACCATTATACCACTGCAGAGAAAAATCAATTCACCTGAAGTCAGGGCTCTGTCCAAAAGAGGACCCACAGTTTCTGAGTCCCTCACTGGTTTGAGCATGTGTCTTTTACCACATGGAGATTTTTAGACATTGTGTGCTTTGTAGGGTTTACTCATTTTAATTAAAAAAAAAAACAAAAAACCCTTTCATGTTGTGCAGCTCATCGTCGAAATGCTAGGCAACACGCCGAATGTTTTATTACAAACCAGCATTCCCTGCAGAAAAGTCTTATTTTGATTAATCTTCAGCACTTACAGCTCCTTTCTGCCAATCAAAGTTTCCATCACGCACAGGGTGCTGTTGTAGAGACCAAGTTGACATGTTGAGGCAGCCCAGAACAACTTTAGAGAGGAGAGGGAGGACTTTTCCTGTCTCTTTTGATAAGGGAAATAGTATGTTTTAAAGACACCTTTGTGGAATCCTTCTTCCCTTAGAGTAGATTGAAAGACTCTCACTTTAAAATAGCCACCCCAGTGGAGTAAAAAAGATGCTGAGTTCTCGTTCTCATGAATATACTGCTGATTAGAAGAACAAGATGTTGACAAACCCAGCCCAGATAGGTCTATAAAGCTTGAAAGAATTTACTGAATAGGCTGGGCGTGGGGGCTCAAGCCTGTAATCCCAGCACTTTGGGAGGCTGAGGCAGGTGGATCACGAGGCCAGGAGTTTGAGACCAGCCTGGCCAACATGGCAAAACCCTGTCTCTACTAAAAACACAAAAATTAGCTGGACCTGGTGGTGTACGCCTGTAATCCCAGCTACTTGGGAGGCTGAGGCAGGAGAATTGCTTGAACCTGGGAGGCGGAGGTTGCAGTGAGCCAAGATCAAGCCATTGCACTCCAGCCTGGGCAACAGAGTGACTCTGTCTTGGAAAACTAAATAAATAAAATAAAATAAATGAAACACAATATTTATCCATTAGCATCTGTTTGTAGGTGTGTAGTAAAATATCGGTTAACATTAATTTCATATTGAAATTTCAGAAGCCTTTTGAGATTGCTATTAAATCATTTAAAGCAGCTCCTCTTTTCTTGGTAAAACCCTTTCATTTGAAGTGTCTGCTATTACATTATTGGACCTAGATTTCATTGCTATAAAAGATCTTTAATTTGGGTACATTTGTAAGCTGTACATATTATTGATTTATATCTCATACTCATTTTTCCAGTGATTATTACCAAAATATCATTCTGTGTAAAGCTATTTGCAGTTTTGACAAACCTTGGAAGAATTACGAGCAAACTGTTGAGATGCAATCCTTTGCATCTAGGATAGGCGCTCCACCGGTTACCAAGGTTCTTCTTCTAGCATTGAAATTAGTGTGTACACAGTGGTCTCCCCAGGTGGGCTTCTCTAAGGTTCTCAGCACTTATCCTGCTCTTGAAGTTAGCAGTTGTTTGATTGTCCAAGTAGTAAAAATGCATATTGATACTGAAGCTGGTTTGTGTTCCTGCTCTCTTTTCTTCTAAAATTGTAGGTTACAATGTTAGACTTTGTCCCTTCTCTTTTTTTCTTATTTCTTCATTCATTCAACAAACAATCACTGAGCACCTTCTTTGTGCCAAACACCAATCTCGACTCCAGGGATACTGCACTGAACCATCCAGATCTCAGCTGTGAATTGCTGTCAGGAACATTGTGCTTTGAGAATGAATTCATTACATTACTAGCAGAGTTCATCACCACACGCATCACTACAGCAGAGCTTAATTATCATTAATGTGATATTAACATTTGTGTATTTATTCATTACACACACAATTGGCAATATTATCTTTCCTAGATAAAATACTTTAACAAGTCCAATTACTAAGCTGCTGAAAGGACATACATAAATGTTTGTAAATAAATAGAGGTTTGGAAGATACAAGATGATTGTGACAAATGTCTGTCCCTGAAAGATGATAATCATTGAAAAGCATTACATTTATTTTGAGGAAACTGGTTTTTTTCTCAACAGAAAAAAACATATTTGTAGCAGCTGGAATAAGAGGTAGGCATAGTATGAGAATAATACCTAATTTCATAGCAAGTCCGTTTTATTTCTTATGATTTGCTGTTCCATTGTGATTACAGTTTGTTGACTAGTGGCCCCTTCAACCTTTTTATGATTTGTTCTTACAACCAATCATTCTTCTCTTTCTTCTACAGTGTTGATTCCTCTTCCTCATGATAGCATCTCATTTTGATCTAGTTATCTGTTTGAGCTTTGCTCTACTATTTTCTTAGCATTTTCTCTTAACATTTCTTTGTTCTTACATCAGCTGTTTTGCATACATCTTAAATGTGGTTAGGTAAATAAATGCACAGAGACCTGTCAGTTTTTTGCCAACAGCCAGGCACCTGTTCATGTCAGCAATTGTCAACTAATGTACTGTATTTTTTGTTTTTTGAGACAGGTTCTTGCTTTGTTGCTGGAATGCAGTGGCGTGATCATGGCTCACTGCAGCCTTGACCTCCTGGGCTTAAGCCATCCTCCTGCCTCAGCCTCCTGAGTAGCTGGGACCACAGATGCCTGCCTGCCACACACGGGCTAAATTTTTATGTTTTGTAGATACAAGATCTCATTATGTTTCCTAGGTTGGTCCCAAACTCCTGGGCTCAAGTGATCCTCCCGCTTCAACATTCCAAAGTGCTGGGATTACAGGAATGAGCCACTGCATCCAGCCCACTGTAATTTTCACATACTCACCAATGCTGGCTCTCATTGATCATATGAAATTATGAAATCACGTGAAAACAATGCCTAGTTCAGTCCAAGGGAAGCAGATACCACTGTTTTATAGAAAGAGATAATAGTAAACCTATAATCATGTCCAAGGAAGTGATGTACACAGTATTAGCTAGATGAGTGTTTTCTGTTACAGGTACCATTTCTGGATTTGACGGGTATATTAGTCATGCGAAATAGTCTTTGCTCCAGATATAAAGGAAAGAATAGAAGGCAACATGATGCGGTAGAAAATAATGAGCTATGGAAACAGATAGGCGTGAATTTAAATTTCTGCTTTACTTCTTCCTACTATTAAGATTGGACCCACTGAGCTTCAATATTTTTACCTGTAATATGAAGATAATGAAACAAATGTCACAGAGTATTACATACTAGTTTCTAACTTTTTTCTTCCTTCGAATCAAAAAAGAAACCACATGTGTTTAAAATATGCACCACTCAACATTCTAAGATGGAAATAGCTTAAAGTACCAAATTTGAGATTGATGTATATTGGGGGATGGAGATTATTAAATTTCCTTGTTCAGATGAAACATAATTAACATAATCAGTTTGGAACTTTTTTCATGCCTAATTCACTTTCTAGTCCAAAAATAATGCTGTGCAAATTATTGGCACGTTGTTTCATTTTCATGCCTAATTTAAAAAAAAAAATCTTTTCCTTGTGCTCAAATGCCTATTTAGTTCCATTTGGGCCATTTTCTTTGAACTAAATGCAAATGAGGGAGGTTGCATGTATTTCATAATCTCCCTTTAATCAAGATCACTATGAAGCATCAGCCCCCTGGGTGACGGGTGACATAAATCATATTAACTTAATTCTGTGTGTTTCATTAAAGGATTTAGTATTTTTATGAACCAGAATATCTGGGTCACTGCCATAGAAGCTTCAATCAAGCTGCAGATCTTATGGAGTCAATGATGTGTTGCTTATTTGATGAGATGAAGATGAAGTGCCTACTCCCATCTCATACTGGCCTCATTAACACATGGTTGCTTTAAGAGTTCATGAGTTTTGGCCAGGTGCGGTGGCTCATGCCTGTAATCCCAGCATTTTGGGAGGCTGAGGCAGGCAGATCACAAGGTCAGGAGATCGAGACCATCCTGGCTAAAAAATACCCCCCCACCAAAAAAAAAAAAAATTAGCCAGGCATGGTGGCAGGCTCCTGTAGTCCCAGCTACTCAGGAGGCTGAGGCAGGAGAATGGCGTGAACCCGGGAGGTGGAGCTAGCAGTGAGCCGAGATTGCGCCAGTGCACTCCAGCCTGGGCAACAGAGTGAGACTCCATCTCAAAAAAAAAAAAAAAGTTCACGAGTTTAGAAGAGACAGTTGGGTCCTGGCCTCAGGAAACAAAGAAGAAATCCAGATCTTATACAATGTGCTGGACATAAAAGTATAACAATTTTTGATTCTCTTCCCCTTCACCATTGAAATCTATGGTTTCTCTATATGACTGTTTTCTCAACAATCCAAAAAGGCAAGGTTGGCAGCATGCAATCTGCTGAAGAATCCTGCCTAAATACCCTTTTCCACTTCACACTATCTACCGTGGAGTCGTTTTGTCTCTATTTTATTCCTGAATGAATAAACTATGACATCCCAAACCTGATCATTTGTCTATACTTCCAGTCAACCACTTCTGCGCAATATCTAAATATTTATGTTTCTTTGTCAAATGACAGGACCAAGAATGTTTCTGTAATATTCATGAGAACAAAGGAGTTGTCAAGAGAAGAATCTTTGCTTCCTGAAGAATGGACATGAAAAAAGCTGGGAAGAAAGATTGGGCCCACAGTTTACAAAGGTTTCAAACATCTAGGTGATTATCCTCGTATGATAGGAGCTTTTGACTGGATTGTATGCAGTTAAAATTGACTGCCCAGCATCACATAAATGCAGTGTTAGAAGGATTTCATAAATTAGGAAATCTGGAAGCATCTGGGAGAGTGGATGGTTCACCTTGGGTGGCAAGAATGGCAGGTATAAGGTTTTCACTGGAAAGTAAGCCTATTACATATACTATTTCCTTTTCTGAAAATCTCCAGGGTCGCTGCTGGACACAGAACTTGGGAATGGGAAGAAACTTCCAGAGCTCTGTCCTCTCGCAGATGATCAGAATATAGGTACACACAGTGTACAGTTTCTCAGGGTTGTTGGTGATACCAGCCCAATTTCCCTATAGAACTGATGTTTGTGGGTTTTTTGAATAAACACAGAAATTCACCCCCTTAAAATTAAAGGTTGAAACTTACATTTGTCTTCTCTGGGTTTTTTTTTTTTTTTTTTTTTTTTTTTAAATGAAGTCTCACTCTGTCACTCAGGCTGAAGTGCAGTGGTATGATCTCTGTTCACTACAACCTCCGCCTCCAGGGTTCAAGTGATTCTCATGCCTCAGCCTCCCAAGTAGCTAGGATTACAGGCATGTGCCACCACACCCTGCTAGTTTTTGCATTTTTAGTAGAGATGGGGTTTCATCATGTTGGCCAGGCTGGTCTCAAACTCCTGACCTCAGGATATCCACCTGCCTCAGCCTCCCAAAGTGCTGGGATTACAGGTGTGAGCCACCAAGCCTGGCCCTTATCTGAGTTCTTTCAGGCCTCCCAGATAGTATCAAGGAACTGAAACTTACCAAATAACCACATCCAGACAATGAGTTGCCAGATCCCTCATCCACCATGACTGCCTAATTGACCACCTGCTTCCTGCTGGCCAACTCCTCCTCCTTATCCTCCCTAATCTCTGTATTCCCACACATAGCTACATTCCTTCCTCGCTAGATAAACCCAAGTTTTGATTGGTTGGGAAGATGGATTTGAAACTCATCTCCTATCTCCTTAGTGATGTCACCTGAACAAAGCCTTTCTTTCCTGGAAATATTCATCTCAGTGATTGCCTTTCTGTGCAGCAAGCAACAAGCCCTAGACGGAACCCCTAGTGTTCAGCATCATTGGCAGTCAGTGCTCACTTCTCCCCAAGAGAAACAACTAACTCCCCCATTCTGAAGAAGCCTAAGAAACAGTCGTCAGCAAGTCACTCGGAAGTGTCCACCATCATCTGGGTTAGGATTCGGATTCTTCTGATAGGGTTTGCAAAGAGCAGATTTATCCACAGGATTTGGCTTCTTGCTTTGCATCATGAACCCCTTCGAGAGTTTTATAAAAAATTTTAGATCCTCTCCCAGAATTTGCACATACATGCAAATATTATTGTTTGCAATAAGCCTCTTACTCCAAGTTAAGACCTTATGACCTAGACTTTGAAAAGCTTTATGTTTTAATGGAAGCTTTGACATTAACAGCAATAAACAGAGGACTTTTGCCCAAAGAAAGCCACTTCTTTGAAGTTAAATGCTGTTATTGTCCTGGTCACTGAAGCAGCAGCTTTGGAGACATATTGGAAAGCTCAGGTTCTTCATGAGTCCAGAGTCACTTCCAGAAATAAACAATGCTTATTCTGAAACTTATCTCCTATCTCCTTAGTGATGTCACCCGAACAAAGCCTTCTGGGACCAGTGGTTCTCACCCCTTGGCTATGTATAAGAATTCTAGCGAAGCTTTTCCAAATTATACATGCCCAAGAAGACACACACACTTCACAATATCAAAACTTAACAACAAACTACAGTAATCAGTATTGTTCTGGCATAAGGACAGACATGTAGACGATGAAATAATATTGAAAGTCCAGAAGTAATCTCTTATATTTATGGTCAGTTGATCTTTGATGAAGGTACAAGAATCGATTTTTTAACAAATAGTGCTGGGACAACTGGATATTCTCCTTGAAGATAAAGAGATAATGTCTGCATTCTGGGGAGAGTGTCAGCCATGTGCACTTTCACTTTTGCTTCTGTTTTAGTCAACTTCCATGGGGACTCTTATATTCCAGCTTTGGTTGAGATCCATGCTACAAGGTCAATTTATGATAGTTGATGTTTTCATTTGCATCTTTTTTCTAGCTCTCATTTTTTCTAACATGGTTAGGAAATAGGATGTTTCTGTTCATTGAACACTCTAGACAGTAGCTGGCTGCCACTGATGGTGCCAGTGCAGTGTGAAGGCATTAAAATGGCATCTGAGGCAGTGGGGAGAGAGAGGAACACATGGCTTCAGAATCCAACAGAACCCTCATCAATTTGCGGCTCTACCAGTTACTGTATGTCACCTGGAGGAAATGATTTAAACTCTTCAAACTGCAACTTATCTATCCACAAAACAGGAAGCAAAGTGTATCTGCTGGTGTTTTGCAAGGTCTCTATGAGATAAATGTTTTCTTAGTTAGTTTGTTTTTTTTTGTTGTTGTTGTTGAGACAGGGTCTCGCTCTGTCGCCCAGGCTGGAGTGCAGTGGCATCATCTCGGCTCACTGCAACCTCCATATCCTAGGTTCAAGTGATTCTCCTGCCTCAGCCTCCCAAGTAGCTAAGATTACAGGTGCATGGCACCACGCCTGGCTAATTTTTGTATTTTTCATAGCGACAGGGTTTCACCATGTTGGCCAGGCTGGTCTTGAACTCCTGACCTCAGATGATCTGCTCACTTCTGCCTGCCAAAGTGCTGGGATTATAGGAACGAGCCACTGCGCCCAGCCGAGGTGAATGTTTAACAGTTCCTTGCATATTATTGCATACAGTTAGTGCTCAATGTACGTCAGCTGCTATTACTGTTGGCATTTGTTGTTGTTCTCATTATTACTACTAAACCAAGGCACTGAGGTGAGAGATCTTATGAGCGATGTGGATTCAGTACAAGGCAAATTAATTAATTTGCCATAATTATAATAGGTCTCCCGACGCTTAAACCTACCACTTTCCCTTAAACTGTTTTCAGCATCCAATTCTTCAGGTCTCCTCTAACACCTTCCAGTTTGCCTTTTACCTTTGAAGGAAATTTGCTTGGCCTTTGAATTGAGTCCACCCAGGCCCTCACCAGTGACAGGATCTTAGGCATGCTCTGTGACCTCTGTGTCAAACCTTCTCCTCTGAAAGCTGGAAATGACTTCTTAGTGCCGTCCTCCTAAAGATGCTTATACAGAAGGAATGCTGTAAAACAGGGGTCCCCAAACCCCATGCCATGGACTGGTACTGGTCTGTGGCCTGTTAGGAACAGGGCCACACAGTAGGAGATGAGCGGTTGGTGAGCAAGCATTACCGCCTGAGCTCCACCTCCTGTCAGATCAGCGGTGGTATTAGATTGTCATAGGAGCGCAAACCCTATTGTGAACTGTGCATGCCAGGGATCTCAGTTGCACGCTCCTTATGAGAATCTATTGCCTGATGACCTGAGGTGAAACAGTTTCATCCTAAAACCATCCCCCCATCCCGATCCGTGGAAATATTACCTTTCATGAGACTGGTCCCTGGTGCCAGAAAGGTTGGGGATTGCTGTCTTAAAAGATATAAACCACTCAGAGCTAGGCCTGGTGTGCAGTGATTTGTGGCTGTTGTTTTCATTATTTTTGGCTATTGGAGATTTGGAAACAATTGATCTTTTCTGTCATGAATTTTCACTTTCTAGTTTTTCATGAAATTGACTTTATTCAATTATAAAACCATAGAGCTCTAGAACAAGCTTGTCCAACCCGCAGCCTGCAGGACACATGCTGTGCGGGACAGCTTTGAATGCAGCCCAATTCAAATTCCTAAACTTTCTTAAAACATTCTGAGATTTTTTGGTGGTTTTGCTTTTTAGCTCATCAACTATCGTTAGTGTCAGTATATTTTGTGTGTGACCCAAGACAATTCTTCTTCTTCCAATGTGGCCCAGGGAAGCCAAAAGTAGGGACACCCTTGCTGTAGAACATTAAGCTCTAGGGACCTTTGCGAGACTTTAGTTCAACTCCTCACTTTGCAGTGGAAAAATCAAAGGTGAGAAGTTCCCTGGGGCTGCAATGCAGAGCCAAAAAAATGAATGCAACATTGTGAACAGGTTCCCTCAAGAGAGCCCCCATCCCCCATCAACCCACACATTCAGGTCCTGCTGATTTTTCCCTTCTTTTTGGCCTGAGTATTAATATACATATCTTTTTAAATGTTAAGCTAAAAATGAGGACATCACCCATTTTTGCTTTGCTTTGTCCTTGGTTCTATTTAATGTCTTCAAATCTCTAATTTTTTTTTTTTTTATGTTTTCATCTTTATTTGTTATAAAGCTTTTTTTAAAGGAAATTTTTGTAATGTATGTAATTGTTCACTGTTTTACTCTTTTCTCCTTTCTTTAGAACCTGTCAAAGCCAAAATATCATTTGGGGCTATGCCAGATGTTTTCCCACCAGGTCAGAAAGGTAAACGTATTTTTGTTCAACTGGATTAACTGGAAAGAAGATAATTAAAACACATATATAATATATAGTATTTGATGATATATAGTAATCTTATATAATAATATATATTATTTTAGTAATAAATTATTTAACCTTAAAATATTATTAAGTCTTTAACTAACCTTGATAATAATGGTTTGTATGATTCATTGCTTGTCAGAGTTACTAGCCAAGTCATTTATAGTCCAATGTTTATACTTAATAAACCAATTCAATTCTTAGTAAATGCTCATATTAGTGGTTGGCATTTTTGAGTTGAAAAACCTATGTTTAAGTTTCAATTCTACTGCCTGTCTGACTTTTAGGGGAAGACATCAGAATCTCAGTTTCATCGTCCTCAAATATGAAATAACAACAATAATAACACTAATAATCATACCTATCTCTAGAGTTTCAATATCATAACCATGGCTTTGTGTACATACAGACTGATTGTTCCCCAAGATACTCCCTATCCACCCTCATCACCCCAACCTCCAAAATATACACCAGTGAACTCAAACAGCAACAAAAAGAGCCCTAGGGTCTACACAAGTCATATCCAGGTTTGAATGAAAACATTCTTGCCACTTTTTTCATACAATAGCTTATATTTCTGTTTTGAAGAAACATATGAACTTTTGAAGGGAAAGGTGACAAGATATCCACAGCCTTTCTGAGACATAATGGGGTGTAATTGTTGGTGAAGCGGAACCTCTTGCGAAGGAGATAGTTATTCTACCCTAGGCCTCTTGTGGCAGAAAACCTTCATATTGACTCAACTACAAATGATAAAGAATGAGACAGAGGGAGAACAGTCTGACCTGAAAAGATAATCAACCTAGAAATCCAGAAACAGAAAGGCCCAGGAGAGGGATTAAGAATGCAGCCAAATCTCTTCTTAATTTTGTTAATCAGACATTTGTCAGCACAGGGCACTTTGCAAGTGTCGAAAAATCAAAGCTTGTGAATAGGGCCTGGGCCCCATCTTATTACTTTCTGTATCACTGGGGAACATTTCTCAAGTTGGCCTCCTAAAAGGCATTTGGGTTTCTGTCTCATGTATGAATATAATTATTTCTGTCATGATGAATAATTTAAGCCGTCATTCCCAACTCCACCCTCAGACCACTCTTAGATTTCAATAATAGGAGATACACTGCTCTGTAATGTAACAGCTTCTCTGATTTATGGACCTGGGAGGAAATGTAATGAAAGCAAAAATGTTTCCCCCAACTTCCATGCCAAAATTATTGGTTGGTTATCACTGATTTTTCCCAGTATAGAATCATAGAACGTTAGCACTGAATGTGTCCTTAGATAACTACAGATGAGAAAGATGAAGCATGTGGTCAGGGCATAAAGCTACTAAACAGAGTGGAGTTTTAGACATAGGTTTGTCTGTCTCCTGGTAGAATTACTTACTTTCTTTGCACCACTCTAATATTGAGACAATGTTGCATTATAAAAGTTATTGAGATCAGGCACAGTGGCTCATGGTTGGAATCCCAGCATTTTGGGAGGCTGAGGAGGGTGGATCACATGAGCCCAGGAGTTCGAGGCTGCAGTGAGCTGTGATCGCACCGCAGCACTCCAGCCTGTGCAGCAGAGTGACACGCTGTCTCTAATTAATTAATTAATTTTAAAAAGTCAATTAAACAAGAAACTTGGCCTGGCTGTCTCACATACTGGCTGGTGAATTAAGCACCCTGGGACCCTGTAAAATGGGTCTGATAACTCAAAATTTGTTTCATTCTGAAACAATCTCAAACTTATAGAAAAGCTGCAACTCCGGTACAAAGAGCTTTTCTTGAACCGTTGAGAGAGTTTCCAACATGATGCAAATCTAGTGCTTCATCCCCTGAAAACTTCAGTGTGTATTTCCTACAAACAAGGACAAAATCAACAACACAGCCACCACAGTCAGGAAGTTAGTGTTTGTGCTTTCGTGTTTCACCAGCTCGTTCATTAGCGTCCTTTTCAGCAAAAGGAGCTTATTCCGGATCACAGACTGCCCTTAGTTGTCATGTCATTTTAACTGTCATACCATGCATTCCCTGCAATCTGGGACAGTTGCTAGGTCTTCTCTCGACTTTCCTGATCTCAAAATCTTTGCGGATCAAAGGGCTGTTATTTTATAGAATAGCTCTCAGGCTGTTTTTGCTGGTATTGCCTCGTGAGTAGCTAGGCAGCAACATTACACACAGGTGGTGTGCAGTTTGGATGGACTTATCACAGATGTTAATTTCAGTCACATGGTCAAGGTGATTTCTCCCTGACCCTTCAATCTAATGACATTTTTCCTTTATAATTAATAGGTATTTAGTGGGAAGATATTTTGAGACTATGTAAATAGCCTGCACCTTATCAGCCTTCTAAGTTATTCATTTACCTATATCACTATAAACTCATAGTTTCTCATTTTACTCAATAAAATATTTATTTTAATATTCTCATTGTCCGAGATTTGGTCATGTGGAAGCCCTGTGGAGATAGCCACCATGTCCTTTTGACATGTCCCCATCATTCTGTGAATTCTTATTACTTTTTGCACAAGAAGGAAGATATTCCAGACTCATTTTGTGCTTTTTTAGTCCCAGAGCAGGAATCAGCCATTTGTCAAAGAAACTTGGGCCCTGTTAGTAGATAACAAAATTTAGAAACAGTATTGGGGCACTGGGTAGGCCCGTTGCACACACATACTCACATTGGCATCCATATTTATTTGTACAGCTGTCTCCATACAGTACATTGAAAACCGTATGTTCACGCCAAAGCCTCCAAATCCAACCTGCACCACAGGGTTCGTCTTTCTAGTCTTCTCCCTCCCTCCCTCTCTCTCTCTCTCTCTCTTTCTCTCTTTTTCTCTTTCTTT
This sequence comes from Homo sapiens, assembly GCF_000001405.40. Classification (NCBI taxonomy): domain Eukaryota; kingdom Metazoa; phylum Chordata; class Mammalia; order Primates; family Hominidae; genus Homo; species Homo sapiens. The sequence continues at coordinate 6,890,537 of NC_000010.11, forward strand.
TCTTTCTTTTTCTTTCCTTTCCTTCCTCCCTCCCTTCCTCCCTCCCTCCCTCCCTTCTTTCCTTCCTTCCTTCCTTCCCCATATTTGTCATTCCCTTCTTCGGTAAGAAAAAAACCTGGTTTCCATCATCCTTAACATGTTTACCCATTTGGTCACTGCCCCCATCTGTAGCAGGTTTCCTGAGCTGCAAGAGCTGTGGGCACCTCTCTGGCCTGGGTGCCCTTCACCCTCTGGAGCACCCGCACTCTGCCCTGGGCCTCCTCCTACACAAATCCCCTCTTCACTCCGGCTCTGACACTTGCAGGCCCCTTCTTCCTCTGTGCAGTGCCGATACCCCACATGGACCCCACCATCTGGACCCCTTCAGGCCCCACACAGGCTCCAGTGCTCTGCTCTGGCCATGCACCTTTCCCGCCCCTGCACAGGCTCCTTGCTCAGCCCCCATCAAAGGCCTCTGGACTGAATTTGACAACTTCCTGACTTTGCCTGTCTCTCAGGGTAGCTCTAAACTTTTGATGAAACAATGGGTGTAAATGAACACTTTGTAAATGATGAAGAGTTTAAGGTCCTGGCCAAAGCATTTCTTCCCAGCAATGAAGCTTGTGGAGCCCAGGCTGGTATTCTGAAAGGGGCGCCAGCCGTGCTCTGTGCTGTTGACCTCAGGGCTCCCTCACGTCCCCGTCCCTCCCTGGCCCCTCCTGCCTGCCCTCACGCCGGACTCCACACCACGCCCTCCTTTCACACCAACCTTCAGGGAAATCCCGACAGGACAGGCCAAAGGACTTTGGCTTCTTGGGGAAGACTGGGACGTAAACAAGTGTATGATGTAGATGGTGATATTTAGCGTTCTCTTCCCACCTCTTAGGTGAGATAAAACTGGTTTCTGTGACAAACAAACCGAAAACATATAATGGATCACACAAATATTTATTTCTCACTTCTGTGAATTCCACAATGGGAGTTCCTGTTCCCTGGCAGCTTATTCATTTGCCAGGGCTGCCTGTCACAAAGCATCACACACTGGGTGACTTAAACAAGAGAGAGTTATGGTCTCCTGGTTCTGGAAGCTGAAAGTTAAAGACGGAGGTGTTGGCAGGGCTGGTTCCTTCCAAGGCTGTGGGGTAGGGTCTGCCCCAGACCTCTGCCCTTGTTCTGCAGATGGCTGTCTTCTCCCCACGTCCTCACCTGGCCTTCTCCCTACAACTGTGTCTCTGTGCCTAACTTCACCTTGAAACTGACCCAATAGCCCAATAGATAGTTTTTTTGGATAAACACAGAAATTACCCCTTTTGGTCTTAAAGCTTGAGACTTACATTTTTTAGGCTCATGGCAGACAGGAGGCAGGATTAGATTCTAGCTGCCATGCAGACAGACAGAGCAGTGTGTGGAGACTCACATCGTGAACTGTTGCTCCGGAACTACTGTAGGAAAAAGGCAGGAAAGTAGAGAGAATCCACAGGCCCTCTGAAGGAAGCAGATTGCTCCTGTAGGACCCGAGACACACCCCAAATACTGTGCTGGTATCTACAGTTGAGAGACCTGCAGACGGTTCACATCACAGGACTCTGTGCAGACAACCACCAGTGTTAGCCTGGAGCCTGGTAGACCTGCTGGATGGCTAGGTCCAGAAGGCAGATAACAATCACTACAGCTCAGCTCTCAGGAAGCCACATCCCTTGGAAAAGGGGGAGAGGACTACATCAAGGGAACACTCCATGGGACAAAAGGATCTGAACAGCAGCCTTGAGCCCTAGACTTTCCCTATGCCATAGCCTACCCAAAAGAGAAGGAACCAGAAAAACAATCCTGGGAATATGACAAAACAAGGTTTTTAACACTCCCTCAAAGCATCACGCTAGTTCATCAGTAATGGATCCAAAACAAGAAGAAATACCCAAGAAACACACTGTAGTCAGGAAATGAAAATCAGAGTATTGGTTGCAAGATCTTCAAGAGGAAAAAAAAAAAGATACCATTTCTGTGCACTTTTTAGGATACTCTCAATATTTTAATTACCAATTTGTCATCTGCCAAAGAAAATGATATTAAAGGAAAGAGAGGTCAATTGTAGCCCAGGGTAGCCTGGGCATTTCAGAGATTCTGCTCAGGTTCTACCCTGACACATTTAAGTTGCTGCTTCCTTTTATTTGCCCAGATGGGTAATTCAAATCTGGATTAGAATCTCTAAAATTCTCTTGGGAGGTCATTCTTTCCCTAGGGCTCCTATTATCTTTACTTCATAATATTAATGATAACTGTTACCACCAGCAGGGTAGTGCTAAAACAAGCATTATCTTACAAAACTGAAATTCACTGCTGGGAATTTTTTTTAAAGGCCGTTATGCATAACAATATTTTTAATGGGGTGATTCCTACCAACTGGTTGACAAAACTCTTGTCATTTTTTTAAAGCAGAATTAAATAATGCCAGGCAGCAGAATGTGTTAGGCATAAATTACAGACGGCAAGAGGGCAAAGACATTGTGTGGTGAATACATTAAAGCCTTAGATTATGAGGTCAGTGTGCTTGGTACAGGGAAGGAAGGCTGAGGCTGTAAGAGGAATGTTTTCAGACCACACTGAAATTAGCTCTCCAGTCCATGAGGACTAAGCACCTAGGAGAGATCATTACTGCAGAAGGGAAAGATTTTCTGGGCTACAAAATATTACTAGAAAAATGTAAGTTTTTTTTTTTTTTTTTTTTTTAAATCTTTCATGAGATTGTAAAGTCCTAAAAGGTCAGGTGTGGATCTGGTTATGTTTCTAAGCTCGACAGACTTTGGAACTCATTATATATTTCACAGGTAAGCAGGAAATATAGCACCTTGGGACACTTGGGTGTCTGAGCTTATCTTTTTTTTTTTGTATAGATGGAGAGTCTGAGCTTATCTTTTTTTTTTTTTTTTTTTTTTTTTGTATAGATGGGGTCTCGCTATGTTGCCCAGAGAGTCTAAGCTTATCTTTTTTTTTTTTTTGTATAGATGGGGTCTCTCTATGTTGCCCAGGCTGGTTTTGATCTCCTGGCCTTCAGCAATCCTCCCACCTCAGCTTCCCAAAGTGCTGAGACTACAGGCACGGGCCACCACACCCAACCTTCTCTAAACGAAACCTCAAATTAAAATGAGGTCCTTTCTGAAGGCTTAGAGATTGGGTGCACGAGGGAAAATATTTGATTTCTCTCTAGGCCTTACCTTTGTGGGGATTTAAGTTCTACTTATTCAGCCTCAGAAATCTCTCTCAAAGCGTGGCCTTCCCCACCATCCATACAAATTTGAATCTTCAGCATCTGTAGCCTTGACTACTCACAACCTCTCCCTAACCTCAGCACCTCTAATCTCAGTCTCTTCTCCCATTCTCTTGCTGACTACCCTCCATGCTGCTGCCAAGGGCATGTTTTCTAAAATGCAGTACTGATCATGCAGGGTAGGCCTACTGTTCTAACATGAAAAATTGATTCCACAGGATAGAGTGTGAAATCTCTAAGATGTTCTAACAGACTGTGAAAGCACCTCTCCAGCCACGGCTGTCTACAGGGTCCATGCTTAAGCTTCACTGGAACTCTCCATCTGCCTCCGCTATGTCACGCTGAATGCCAAATCCTTGGACTTAGATTCTTCTAGGGCTGTCAGTGGTGTAGGTACAGCTTCTGTGTAAATCAAAGGCCCCTTTCCCCAGCAGGATACAGCCAGTGCCAGGCCACCTTGCTTGGTAGGAAGCACTGGCGCTGGATTTCAGCCCCACTCGGCCCCTCATCTGCACAGTGGCTCCCTCGGTGCTGAACTGTTCGTGGGACTGCTGTGAGCTTCCCCATTCCCTGTTCTTTATGAGCAGATGAAATGTCACTTACAACGGCTCCCAGGCAGAGGCTGTCACTCCGTCATCTTTGATAACACAGTGCTTTAGATGTTCAGACATCTACTATTTGTTCCTCTACTTTTCAAAAGACCATGGGCTCAAAACCAATGTATTTGGTTTTCCCACACCTTGTTTTTGTTGTTGTTGTTGTTTTAATCCCCAGTTTCCAGCATACTGCATGGTATGGAGTAGCAGTTTCCAGCATACTGCATGGTATGGAGTAGCAGTTTCAAGCATACTGCATGGTATGGAATAGCAGTTTCAAGCATACTACATGATTTGGAATAGCTGTTCAGTAAGTGTTCCATAGGGAAGGCAGGAGGGAGAGAGGAAAGAGTTATTGAGTCTAAACTTGCAAAGAAAGCTGGAAAAAGACCGATTTCCAACAATGTTGCAGAAATTAATGATTAGGAAAAAGCAGATTACCATTCTACACTATATTCTGAAAGAAAATATTTCAAAATGCTTAAAAATTGAAAATTAAAAATTATATGGGATTTAGTAGTACTTACATTCCCAAAATATTAATATTTAAGAGGAAAAATTAAATGAAATTTAAAAACTGTTGTAAGGAAACAAAAATGCAATGGAAATTTTGCATCTAATATCCAGATAAAAATAATATGTTCTAAGCATAATACTAAAGCCAAGAACCATAAAGGAAAAAGTTCGTAATGACTATATAACACCTATATAAAATGAAATGACAACTAACAAATTAGAAATATTTATAACAGACAGTTTATAACTTTCTTACAAAATCATAAGTTAAAAGCTCTTATAAATCAGGTTTGGTGGATATCTAAAGAGAGAAAAGGTAAAATATACTCATCTATTTTTACTTTCATCCACATCAGTGTTTATATATTTGAAAGCTTTGCTATTCAGTGCATGCAAAATTGAGATTATTATAGCTTCTTGATTTATTATTTTATCATTGTAAAATGTAATTTATATGGTCCTGGTAATATTCCTTGTCTTTAAGTCTATGATGTTTGATATTAATATAACAGTTCCCTCTTTCTTAAGATTACTATTTGCTTGATATATCTTTTCCATACTTTTAACCTATAGATGTCTTTATATTTTAAAGTACATTTATTATAGATAGCATATGTTGGATCTCTTTTACCTGGTCTGAAAACCAATTTTAATTGTGGTGTTTAGGCCATTTACACTTAACATAATTATAAATATTGTGTTTCAGTCCACCATCTTGCTATTTGTTTTGTAGTTGATTCACCTGTTCTTTGAGTTTTTTCCCCCCACTTTTTTTTTGCTTTTCTCCAGATTGACAGAATAATTTTAAAATGATTTCCTTGTATCTCCACAATGGATGTTTTCTCTATGTCACTTGTTTTGCTTTGTTTTAGGTGGTGGTTCTAGAGATCACGCTATGCATTCTTACCTTATAATTGTCTTTCCCCCAATAATATTATATCACTGCATGTAAAGTGTAAGAGCCTTACGACATTATATTTCCATTTCCCCACTGTTTACTCCCACCCATATTAACAGAATCAGGGTGGAGCATGTAGCATATGACCACCAAAAATGCACAGAAAAATACATGACAAAATATTAAGACTCATTTATGGTAAAACCTTGTAGCAAGCTAGGAATAAAGGGCAGCTCTTCAATTTAACAAAGTACATCTATGAAAAACCTACAACTAACAACTTGTTAAAGACTGAATGCTTCCTCCCTGGGATCAGAAGCAAGGAAAAGACATCTTCTCTTACCACTCCTATTCAACACTGTGCTAGAGGTTTTGCCCAATAAGGTTAAAAAAGAATTAAAATGTACACAGATTTGAAAGAAAGCTGTCTTCATTTGCAGATTATATGACTGCATATGTAGATAATCCTAAGAAATCTATAAAAATAGCTACAAGGCTGAGGCGGGTGGATCACTTGAGGTCAGGAGTTCAAGACCAGCCTGGGCAACATGGTGAAACCCCGTCTCTACTAAAAATACAAAAATTAGCTGGGCATGGAGGCACGCACCTGTAATCCCAGCTAATCGAGAGGCTGGGGCAGGAGAATCACTTGAACCTGGGAGGCAGAAGTTGCAGTGAGCTGAGATCATGCCATTGCACTCCAGCCTGGGTGAAAGAGGGAGACTCCATCTCAAAAAAAAAACACAGAATAAAAATAAATTAAAAATTAGCTACAAAAATAATAAGTACATTGAGAAAGCTTACAAAATGCAAGGTCAATACACAAAATTTAACTATATTTCAAAACACTAGCAATGGACAATTCAAAAAAGAAATTTTAAAAACTAATACCATTTACAATAGCATAAAAATATTAAAATTATTTAATAAAATATGTATAAAACCTAAATACTGAAAACCAAAAAACGTTGCTGAAATAAATTAAAGAAATAAACCATCTCCGTATTAGTCCATTTTCACACTGCTATAAAGAAACACCTGAGACTGGGTGATTTATAAGGGAAAAGGCTTAATTAACTCACAGTTCCACACGGCTGGGAGGCTTCAGGAAACTTAAAATCAAGGCAGAAGGCTTAGGGGAAGCAGGCACCTCTTACATGGTGGCAGGAGAGAAAGACAGATAGCACAGGAGAAAATCCCATTTATAAAACCATCAGATCCTGTGAGAACTCACTCACTATCATGAGAATAGCATAGGAGAAACCGCCCCCATGATCCAATCACCTCCCACCAGGTCTCTCCCTCCACGTGTGGGGATTACAATTTGAGATAAGATTTGGGTGGGGACACAGCGCCAAACCACATCAATCCTCATGGATTGAAAGACTCAGTATTATTAAAATATCAGTTATCTCTAAATTGATCTATATATTCAAAGCCATCTTAATGAATTTCTTACAGGCTTCCCTTAAAAACGACAAACTAATTCTAAAATGCAAATGCAAAGAATGTAGAATACCCAAAATAATTTTGAAAAAGGAGAGTAATGTTGGAGGACTCATATTACCTGACTTCAAGAAGTACCAAAAAATACGGTAATTAAGAAAATGTGATATTAACTTAATAATGGGCATGTTATTTTGGAACTAAAAACAGACTCCAGAAATAAAACCATACATATATAGTTAGTTGGCTTTTCTGTCTAAGAAACCAAGCTAATGTAATAGGGGAAGGATAACCTTTAATAAGTGGTGCTAAAACAAAAAAAAATGAAAATGAATTTCAACTCATACTTCACACCATTCACAAAGTTATTTCAAAATGAATCACAGTTGATAATGTATTGGCTAATACTAGAAAACTTCAAAGAGAAAATGTAAGTGATCACATTTACAACCTTGTAATAGACAAAGATTTCTCAAAACACAAAAAGAGCAAGAACTATAATAGAAAAAAAATAATACTTTGGACTCCATCAAAATTAAAACCTTCTGGTCTTTGGAAGATATCATAGATACCATCAACAAAATGACAAGGCAAGCCACAGACTAGAAGAAAATATTAGCAATATACATCTGACAAGGGATTTACATCCACTATTTATAAAGGATTCCACTAACTCAATGATAATCCAGTTAAAAAGTGGGCAGGATTTGAACTGGCACTTCATGAAAGAAGACATATGAATGGCCAGTAAGTGCGTGAAAAGATGCCCAATATCACTAGCCATCAGCAAATGCAAATTTGAATCACATTGAGATACGACTACACACCCACTGGGTGGGCTAGAACTTAAAAGGCTGATGATAGCAAGTGTTGACAAAGATATGGAACAACTGGACCGCTCATAGATTGCTTTGGATGTATAAACTGTTACGACTTTGGCATCTTCTTGTGAAATTAAACATGCATTTACTGCACAATTCAATAATTCCTTTCCTAGGTATTTATCTAAGGGAAATAAAAACACATGTCCACAAAAAATCACTTGTATACAGATGTTCGTTGCAACTTACTTTTAAGGCTAAAACTCAGAACAACCTAAATGTCCATTTGCAAATGAGTGGTAGGCAAATTGCGTATATCTGTGTAATGCAATATTATCCAGTAATAAAAAGAAATAACTACTGATGCTCTCAACATGGATGTGTGTCAAAAATGTTATGCAGAGTAAATGAATACAGACTCAAAAGAGTACATGTTGTATGACTCTGTATATATAAAAGTAAAGAATTATCAAAAGGCCTCTATAGTGACAGCAAACAAATTAGTGATTGTCTGGGACTAGGACAAAACGACATGGGGTAACTTTTTAGAAGGACAAAAATATTCTATATCTTTATTGGCTCGTGGTTACATTGCGTGTACGTTTGTTAACTCTTGCGGAACATACCTGTAAAGTGAGTGTATTTTTTATACTGTATGTACATAATAATTTCATCAAATTGATTTTAAAAAACAAAAATAGTATATCATTTTGCAACTATCAACCTGACAAAAAATTTAAGATGTGAGGACGTGAGGACAGGATGCTTTCATACACATCAGGTAGGAAAATGAATGAGTGAAAACCTTCTATTAGAGAAGGGTGCAACACTTAGCCAAATCCTTAACAATGGATGTATTCTGTTTAATAATTTTTTTTTCATTCCTTCCTAGGACTAAATTCTAAGTAAACAATTAAAATGTACAAAGGCTTAGCTATGAGAGTGCTTGTCTAAATGTTATCATTGAAAGTATTGAAAATAAACTATCCCAAAATAGGAGCTTGGTTAAGTAAATTATATTCATGCAATAAAGTGTCATGCAGTCACTAAAAAGGATGGGAAATTATATCTGTTGATATCAAAATACATTCATGATATCTGATTAAATGTTTAAAAGACACATTTATAAAACTGTATCATACACTCTTACTTTTGTTCAAATGCAATAAAAAGGCCAGGAAATGCCAGGAGCTATTATTGGTAGTTTTACCTAGATGATAGGACTGTGATGAGGTTTTCTTTCTCTTTCTCCAGTTTATTTGCATGTTTCCCTTTATTTCAAATGCACACGTAATGTTTTTGTAAAGACAAAATTAGAAGTGTATGTTGTTATAGCAATTATTGTTCTTAAAAGGTAAAGTAAAGGGTAGCCTGAGAGGCGAGGTGCTGTGTGGAACATTATTAAGGTAAGCACTGGGGTGTGACAGAGGCTTGGACTTTAGTCTCTGTCATGGACAGATACTAGACCCAGGTGGGGAGCCCTTTTTGGCTTCCTTCATTGCCATCTGACTTCCTACTACTTCAGGCCCTCATGATATGAATTATTTTATGCCTTTTCTCAACCTATGGACTCTTCTTGATAAATCAACTTTGAAAGAAAGCTGCTGCAGGGACAGCAACCAACATTAATGATGACAGTCAAGTGAATTTGGCGAAATGATTTCATTTCCTGGGAACGTACACTCCTCCACGATACTTTAAACTCCATGAAGGGAACAACTATCTACCATAAAATATAAGAGCCTGACACCTTCAGCTGGTATAAGGTGGTCCTTGGCAGAGCTCAGCACGCGGTGGATAACAGCACTTAAACATTCACCGCAATAAAATACTCTTGTTGGAATTCCTTGAGACCTTTTCAAATGCCTCATGGCCAAATACCCAGCAAGTATCCTTGAAATAATTTGAGCACTAGAACTGAGAATTGATGTGTAAATGACGCATGGCTGCTAACAGCCACGTGAGGTCTTAGAAGGAAAGGTTAAAAGAATTCGGTTAATTACCTTGGTGGGAAGAAAGTTGAAGAGAAATTTAATAGCTATCATTAAGAATCTGAAATATTATTATAAATAGATTGTTTCCGAACCATTCTCAATTTCCACAGAGAGCAAAGCTTTTGGAGCAGCAAGAAGTCAAATAAGACATTGGTAAAGAACTTTCTGATTCAGCACTGGAACAGGCTACCAAGAGATGAAGTATTCATTCCTGGAAACCTTTCAGAATAGCATAGACAACTCACTGTTCAATTAACCTGGATCTAGCCCTGAATCAAAGAATTAAACAAATGCTCCTTGTGTTTCCTTCCCATATTAGGGAGGTGTAATTCTATCTTAACTAGAAAGTCACTCCATCAAAAGAATGCCAGAGAATTCACTGAAGTGGCCACAAAGGGCTTCATGTTAATTTTTTAATGACGTGTAAGAATGATATTCATTAAATTTAAAAAGCTTTATACATTGTGGAAGTGACACAGGATTTTTCTCAGCCCCTTTGCTGGACTCGCAGCAGGGGCATCCCATCTACTTGGCCTGCTGCACTCAGCCCCTTGCAGGAGGGAGCATGTGAGCAAGCAAGTTTGGGATCTGGCCGGCCACTCCAAGCACCAACACAGGAGCAAGCTCCATACAGGGCCTGTGACCAGACCAGGCATGTCACCTTGAGAGGGTGCTTGTGACCCTGAAGCCCCAGAGGGGGTGTGTGTGTGCTAATTAGCTCTTTTAGTGCCTCTATCCACAGCCTGATGGACGGCAGCATGTTAGCAGCTCAGCTGGTCCCTGGCCCTACTGTGTGGGGTGGCTGCCCTCTGCCAGTGAGGGCAAAAGGCCAGTGTGACAGCCTTTCTGGGTACCTGCACTTGGTGGGTCCCGAGCTCTTGTCCAGCATCCAAGAAGAATGAGGATACATGACAATTGAAGAGTGAGCAAGGCAGGGAGTTTTACTGAGTGATGAAACAGCCTTCCATGGAGAGGAGACATGGGGATGATCCCCCTAACTGAAGGCAGGAAAGTCCCCCCAGTGTGGCTGAGTCCGGGGGTTTATGGCCTCAGAATAGGGGAGGGGGCAGGCCGCAGATAGTATTGGAAAAGGCAACATTTGATTGGTTAGAAGGCATTATTCAGAAAGAATCAACCAGGAAAGTGGGGGCAAACAGGAACAGAAGTTCTCACACTGGGTTGTGGGTTTCATCCAGGACCAGCAGTCTGGTCTTCCAGCCTTCAGGCTGTTTTTTGGCTTGAAGGTGGGGTTTCACTGGGGACCCACCCCTGTCTGCCTGGGCATTTGGCTGCCTCCTGTTGCTATCAGAAGTTGTGCATGTCTAGCCTTAAAAAATTGCAGCCAATGGAAACACTGCCTATTGCAATGAAATGTAAAACAAATTATATAAACTTTGCACCCTGGAAAAAACTTTCAAGGCATTCTATCATCTACCATCAACCATGCAAATGTCTAAACTTATGCGAACTGTCAAGCAATAAATTGGAAGGATCTGTGTGCTTTTTTATAGAGATGTAGTCTTCCTTGGCCCTACCCACAAACAATAAAAAAAGTTAAGGAAATTAATGTATTTTCCCAAATTATTTGAAAATGTCACTCTTTGTTCAGAACTGCTAAGACCTAAGGTCCAATTAGGTCCCAGTAGTCGAAATGTTAAATCACAACAAAGCCACTTAAGGGGATATTAACAACACCTTGCTGAAATTCCACATTGAAACAGGCTGGTAGTGCATTCGGTTTAAATGACCTCAGTTGATTTAGGACTCAGTTTGCAACAATGGTCCCCAAAGCTTCAGCTATGAATGCTTGTCTTGTGGGGTTTTCCTGCAGCTTTCCAAACCTTTCCCTCAGGGCTGCAAATTTTAGGCATAAAGCTCAGGCTTAGAAGTGAGACTCAAGGGTCTAGAGGCTTTTTTTTTTTTTTCCCTCCTCCGTGGACTTGAGGAAAGCAAGTCACTAGCAAACTTTTGTTTCTCAGTCAAATTCCAGCTCCCAGAGCAATAATTAACAATTAGCATTGGCACCAAAATAAAACACCAGTATCTTTTGGCCAAGAGGCAAAGACAACACATTAGGCATTTAGCATCAGTTAATGAATAATTATTAATTAATCAAGTCTCAAATAAATAGCCATCTTTAGTTTTGCCAGAGACTATTTACTTTCAAATTATTCCCTCATTACCAGTAACAAGCAATTTGAGGGGCTGTACTATGGCATCAATTTTATTAATGCCACATTGGAAAGACAATCATAACAATAAAACAGCACACAGCTGTTAGAAGGGTTTTTCTATATGTATTAATCATGTATTCATAATAGATTTTAATATTCTACATCATAAACTGCAGTGTTTTAAATATAGGATGGGCAAAAAGATGAGGCAGTAATGAATTCATCACACTTACCGATTCTTATAATAAAGTCTTAAAGAACATCTCCCTATATTTTGCAAAGATATCTAGCGTTGTGTAAACCATTGTTACCAAAATATTATTGTTAAACAATATTATTAATTATAATTTACAAAACTGCTAAATAAGAAGCTTAGCAATATATTTCTTCATAGTTTATGGATCTCCTTGAAAAGGAAATGCTTTTCCCAATTTGGTTCTGGGTAAAGATGGGCAGTAAGCAGTTTCAACAGTAGCTATCTCAGCTAATTATGGATTATATTGGGCAAACTCTTAATATTTTTGTTTTAGTGTTGAAAAGAGAAGACTCTAGGATATAGGGCTCAGCTACAAGAAAATCAGAACAGAGAAAGCAGCAAAGAGATTGGTTGCACATTTGTAAAATCAACTTGTAAAAATCTCAATAGATGTACAAAATAAATGTAAAAGAACAGTGTTTTTGGCCAGATGCAATGGCTCATGCCTGTAATCACAGCACTTTGGGAGGCCAAGAGGGTGGATCACTTGAGGTCAGGAGTTTAAGACCAGCCTGGCCAACATGGTGAAACCTTGTCTCTACTAAAAATACAAAAATTGGCTGGTCATGGTGGCTCACGCCTGTAATCCCAGCACTTTGGGAGGCTGAGGCAGGCGAATCACAAAGTCAGGAGTTGGAGACCATCCTGGCTAACATGGTGAAACCCCGTCTCTACTAAAGATACAAAAAACTTAGCCGGGCATGCTGGCAGGTCCCTGTAATCCCAGCTGCTCAGGAGGCTGAGGCGGGAGAATGGCGTGAACCTGGGAGGCAGAGCTTGCAGTGAGCCGAGTTTGCGCCACTGCACTCTAGCCTGGGCGACAGAGCAAGACTCCGTCTCAAAAACAAAACAAAACAAAACAAAAAATTACCCAGGCGTGATGGTGAGTGCCTATAATCCAAGCTACTCAGGAGGCTGAGGCAGGAGAAATGCTTAAACCCAGGAGGTGGACGTTGCAGTGAGCCAAGATCACGCCTTCACACTCCAGCCTGGGCGACAGAGCAAGACTCTGTCAAAAAAAAAAAAAAAAAAAGAACAGTGTTTTTACAAAGAACTCCACTAGAAATCCTAAAAACTCTCTTTGTGCCCTTGGCTATATGTTCAAATGTTGATACAGAATTAACTAGCAGGAAAACACATCTTACCCAAGAAAATGACAGGAGGATATATTGGAAAGAGGGCAAACTTTGTAATTCAACTGGACCAAAGTTCAAATTCCAGTTCTATGAATGTGGGAAATTCACTCCGTAAACCTCGTTGCTCATCTGTAAAATGGGTCAATAAGGTATATTTGCAAGGTTATAGTGAGGAATAATTTACACAAATTATGTAAAATGCAAGGTTTACAGTAGGTACTCAATTAATATTGCAAATATATCTAAAAAAATATGCTGTGGGTAGTGATAGTAAGGAGAAAACCTAACAAGGAAATCTCTCATTCAAGCTTCCTATTTAGGACAGTCCAATTCAGTGAGAATCTTGCACAGGCCGCACATTACTCAAAATCTCTCCTTTTCTCACAAATGCTTCTACAGGACTCTGTTGGGTAAGAACTTGCGTTTGTTTTATGTATTACAATGAGGAAAGCAGAAAGGAAAGGATATTCCAAAGAAAAAAAATTAAGTTATTTCAAGCTAATAAGAAAACTGGACAGGACAAAATCTGCAAGGCCCTGCGTTACAATCTTTCCCAACAGGCACGCCCCCCTACCCTGGTGAAAAACGTCATATTTGTGGAAATTAAGTGAATATTTATAAACATAAAAACCCAAGCTTCCCAGAGGTGATTTTTGTGTTTTCCAAGCGATACCAGAAAAATTTGGAAAAGATGGATCTTCTCAATGAAGAAATGAATAAGGACACGGTAAGGATATGATTTGGACAAAGAAAGACAGGCTGATGTCAGTTCCCCTCCCTGCCTCTGATTCCAACTCTGAATTTTTCCCTCCTGATCTCACAACTATTTTTTGCAGTTTACTTGTATGTTACATGCTTATTATTGCAGGGGGCGGAAAACTTTTTCTCTACCCTCTTGGGTTTAGTAACTGGAGCCCTAAAAAGTAAACCTGCAAAAGACAGATTAACAGGAGGGAAAGAGTTATTTTATGTGCATATGGAAGGCCTCACAGAAATCAAGTGAAACCCCAAAGAGGCAGTGAGAACTGGAGGCTTATATACCACTCTAACAAAGGGCTGTAATTTGTGCAGACATGACAATTACAAAGGAACGGGAGTTTTGAGCTTCCAGGATAATTTGTGGGAAGGTAAATATATGGGGGAAACTAACGGAAGATAAAAGTTGTTTATTAAGGTTTTGTTTGTGTATACTTATCTCAGTGCTCTCTCCAGTAGTAAGATTCCTTCTCCTCTTCCTGGTATGGGAAAGAGGAGTGGGGATACCATCTCAAAGGGAAATTTATGTCCTGCTTTCAGGTAAATAGGGACAAGGCAGAGGGCTTTTTTTGGTGTCTGCTTGTTCTTATTGTCTACAACTTAAAATAATCTTTATGCCAAAGTGGAGGAATATAGTAAATATTTTCGGTTTTTCAGACCATACAATCTCTGTTCAACTCTGCCATTGTAGTGGAAAGCAGTCATAGACAATATGTAAATAAATGGGCATATCTGTTTTCCGGTAGTCTTATTTACAAAAGCAGGTGCTAGGCTAGATTTGGCCCTGTTCAAGGGGTTTGTTAATTTCAATCATCCTGACAGATCCACTAGTTTCAGATACCTTAATGTATTATAATCTTCTGTTACTAATATTAAATATTTCAAAAATTAAATACTACTGCTTTTGTGTTTCATATTGAAATATTATGTTATTTTGAATAATTTTTGGAAATATGAAAAATACAAAATTGATTAAAAACAAATCGATAGAATATTTTCATAATTATTTATTCCTTCTTCCTCCTGCATATTCCATTGTTCTTTTTAATTTTCATTAACTTTTGTATGTGCTCAAGAATTTTTGATCTTAAAATAAACATTTTTAATGTCTCATCCTTTTCAGCTACCTCTGTACTTTTCTCTAACTTTGAAAACATTTTTATTACCATCTCATCACTTCCAAATTCAGCCCAATCTTTCCCTTGAGCTCCAGATTTGCATATCCAGCGGTCTAGTTAACTACTTTTTATATCTCAAAAGTAGCTCAAATGTCCCCACCAACCACCCAATCTCTCTGGTCACAACTAGGAGTCACAGTTGATACCACTCTCTTCTTCAACCCCTTCCTCTACTAATTCGTAAATATATCCTTTTGATTTTTTTCCCAAATTACTTCTCAAGTACGTCCAGCTCTTTCCATTTTCTCCATTCCAACCATACTCTCAGCTAGTACATTTCTTGCCTAGACTGCTACAATAATCTTCCAATTCATCTATCACCTTCCTTTACTCTGGTTCTGTCCAATCTATGCTTAAGATTAAGAGGAGTCTTTTCAGGCCAGATGTGGTGGCTCACACCTGTAATCCCAGCACTTTGGGAGGCCAAGGTGGGTGGGTCACTTGAAGACAGGCATTAGGAGACCAGCCTGGGCAACACAGCAAAACCCTGTCTCTACAAAAAATATAAAAATTTGCCAGGCATGGTGGCAAACACCTGTGGTCCCAGCTACTTGGGAGGCTGAGGTGGGAAGATGGCTTGAGCCTGGGAGGTGGAGGTTGTAGCGAGCTGGGATTGCACCACTGCACCCCAGCCTGGATGACAGATCAAAAGTCTGTCTCAAAAAAAAAAAAGAAAAAAAGAAAAAGAAAAAGAAAAAAATAGTCTTTTCAAAATACAAATTAGGTCTTAAAATTTGCTTGCTTAAAACTCTCTGTTGGCTAACAGAGCCCTCAGAAATAACGCCGCATATCTACAACTATCTGATCTTTGACAAACCTGAGAAAAACAAGCAACGGGGAAAGGATTCCCTATTTAATAAATGGTGCTGGGAAAACTGGCTAGCCATATGTAGAAAGCTGAAACTGGATCCCTTCCTTACACCTTATACAAAAATTAATTCAAGATGGATTAAAGACTTAAACGTTAGACCTAAAACCATAAAAACCCTAGAAGAAAACCTAGGCATTACCATTCAGGACATAGGCATGGGCAAGGATTTCATGTCTAAAACACCAAAAGCAATGGCAACAAAAGCCAAAATTGACAAATGGGATCTCATTAAACTAAAGAGCTTCTGCACAGCAAAAGAAACTACCATCAGAGTGAACAGGCAACCTACAAAATGGGAGAAAATTTTCACAACCTACTCATCTGACAAAGGGCTAATATCCAGAATCTACAATGAACTCAAACAAATTTACAAGAAAAAAACAACCCCATCAAAAAGTGGGTGAAGGACATGAACAGACACTTCTCAAAAGAAGACATTTATGCAGCCAAAAAAACACATGAAAAAATGCTCATCATCACTGGCCATCAGAGAAATGCAAATCAAAACCACAATGAGATACCATCTCACACCAGTTAGAATGGCAATCATTAAAAAGTCAGGAAACAACCGGTGCTGGAGAGGATGTGGAGAAATAGGAACACTTTTACACTGTTGGTGGGACTGTCAACTAGTTCAACCATTGTGGAAGTCAGTGTGGCGATTCCTCAGGGATCTAGAACTAGAAATACCATTTGACCCAGGCATCCCATTACTGAGTATATACCCAAAGGACTATAAATCATGCTGCTATAAAGACTCATGCACACGTATGTTTATTGCGGCACTATTCACAATAGCAAAGACTTGGAACCAACCCAAATGTCCAACAATGATAGACTGGATTAAGAAAATGTGGCACATATACACCATGGAATACTATGCAGCCATAAAAAATGATGAGTTCATGTCCTTTGTAGGGACATGGATGAAATTGGAAATCATCATTCTCAGTAAACTATCGCAAGGACAAAAAACCAAACACCGCATGTTCTCACTCATAGGTGGGAATTGAACAATGAGAACACATGGACACAGGAAAGGGAACATCACACGCTGGGGATTGTTGTGGGGTGGGGGGAGGGGGGAGGGATAGCATTAGGAGATATACCTAATGCTAAAGGACGAGTTAACGGGTGCAGCACACCAGCATGGCACATGTATACATATGTAACTAACCTGCACATTGTGCACATGTACCCTAGAACTTAAAGTATAATAATAATAAAATTTAAAAAAGAAAAAAAATGTTGATATTGCCACAGAATAAAAATGTTAAAGTTTTGTAGGCAAAAACACAATAAGCAAATTGAATAGCAAGTGACAATTCAGATAAAAAACCTATCAGAAAAACAAATAATGGAAATTCAAAAAAGAAACATGCAAAAGCAAACAAATATATACAAATTAAGTTTTGTTAGTATTCAAATAAATATAAGATTAAAAAAAAAAACTCTCTGTTGGCTTTCTTGCTCTTAGAATAAAAACCAAAGTAAGTAACATGACTAAGACTTCAGCCTGGTTCTGCCCTGCCTGTCTCTCCAGGTTTACAGCACACCTCTGACTCTACCCACTTCAACCTACTCGTTCCTCCATCCTTTAAGCATCCCAGACTCTCTCCTATTATTAGGCCTTAACTAGGCCTCCAGGAATGCTCCCAGATATGCCCTCATAGGGTAGCGAGGAGTCACAATGGTTGACAGATTCTTTGATTTGCAAGTTCCTGCCTTGCCAGGAGTGTTTACCAAGTTCTTCCTGTCCTCTCCTTCTTTTGTTCTCACCCTTTCTTCCATGTTAAGGTTCTTCATTGAATATTTTCCTTGTGAAAGGCACTGGTGGTTAGGCATTTTGCCTGGTAGAATGGCACTGGCAACTGGTCTGACTTGAATTCCATAGAGCACATGCTATTAATAGCAACAGTAAGAAGCAACAATACTACTGATAAAGCTAGTATTTATCGAGTATTTACTATATCCCAGGTCCTGTGCTGAGTCCATTGGCTAATATAGTCCTTAAACACTAGTATGTTAAAATTATTATTCCCAGTTTACAGACAAGAAAATCAAGGCTTACGTTTTCTCAAAGACTCACTATTGAGGGGGTTGAGGACATGTTACCCCAAAATATGACACCTTGTCATTTGAGAAAGCAGAAGCAGGAAGGTCTCTCTGACCTTTCCCTTGCCCTCCTTTCCTACAGCAGGTCATGTATCTGAGGAAGATCAGTCTCTCACCTTCTTCCTCCCTTCTCTCCTAACGTTCCTTATGTGACAGATGTTTTCCTCTATACCCAGAAGGAAGGAATGTCACACAGAGACACATAGGAGAATCTGAACAAACTGGCCTCACTAAGTCCCCACAGTTTGTTACCATTAGATCACACCCCCCTTGTTCAATCATGTTTCCCCGTAACAATTCACTTCTTCATCAGACTTAGCATAAAATATACATGGCTCTCCTGCTTCTTTGCATCTTCATTTCTGAAGGCTCTTATGTTACATGAAACTTCTATTACATACATTTGTATGCTTTTCCTTCATTAATCTGTCTTTTTTTATAGGGGTCTGTATTAGTCCATTTTGTGTTCCTATAAAAGAATACCTGTGACTGAATCATTTCTATAGAAAAGAGGTTTATTTGGCTCACAGTTCTGCAAGATATACAGGAAGCGTGGTGCCAGCATCTGCTTCTGGTGAGGCCTCAGTTAGCTTCCAATCGTGGCAGAAGGCCAAGGGTGAGTCAGCATGTCACATGGCAAGATTGGGTGCAAGAGAGAGAGGACGAGGTGCCAGACCGTTTTAAACAACTAGCTCTATGTAAACTAATAGCATAAGAACTCACTTATTACCATGGGGAGGGCACCAAGCCATTCATGAATGATCCGGCCCCATGACCCAAACACCTCCCACCAGGTCCCACCTCCAACATTGGGGATCACATTTCAATATGATATTTGGATGGGACAAACCTCCAAATGATATCAGGGTGTCAGCCACGAACCTTGTGATGGGTGAAAAGTCTTTTCTCCCCAACACTGGCAAGTGAGGGATATGACACAGACCCTTCATTCTGGCCACAGTCTTCACACTCTTAGCTGTTGCACTATATTGCTTCTGAAGCATCACCATATACATCTTGGAAGAAAATTAGAGTAAACGAAATCCATGGGGAAGGGCCAGAGAAAGAGAGGATTTCTTTTTGGAGATTTCAGACCAGGAAGGCCTCAATTTGTGTTGTAGTTTTCTAATACTAGGGAGAGACACAGACATCTTCTGTGGGTTAAGGAACTTCCAAGAGAGTCAGAGAGAAGCTACAGACTCACTTTGGAACAAATGGGGCAACAAGAACATCCCCTCCCCGCTCAAATAAACCAAAGCAAAGGAATATTCTGTAGTGATGGTGTGTCTATAGCCAGGATGGTCCTTAGCGTATTCAGGGTAACACAGTCTTTAGCATGACATGACGATTACACTTGCACCTAATTATGGTGAGAGCTGACCACTGGGTTCCTGGACAATGTCCTGCAAGTGGTGCAGTGGGAACTGCAGGTTTCCCTCCTCTGGACAGTGAGCAACCCAACCTTTTGCCCTACGTCTCCATTCTCCTATGGGTTCACATGCAATGGGAAAGAATCCACGTGATTTATTCCTGAAAGGATGAATGGACAATCGTAAGCGACCTCCTCTTGTCAAAGGGGTCCTTGAAATCGCCAGGCAGTAAGGTCATTGCCTGTGTTAGAGAAAGCAGTAATTCTTGGCAGAAAGGAGGTGAAATGATTAAAAACACAGGTCAAGGGATAAAATGGAGTAAGTAGATGAGTGGAGGTTTGTGGGTAAAACATCAATGCCAATGTTTCCATTTTCCCATCATTGCTGTCAGGAAGCAATTGCTCCTTTGATCATGTAAATGACAGGCTTTTAAGAGGTGACCTCAACCATTAATTTTAAATAAAAGCCTCTCTTTGGTCCCTCCCTGGTGGATCAGGCTGCTTCCATGAAATAGCAATAAGGTGAACCGGTTTTCCCTGGACTACAGGGGTGTCTCTTTCCTCTTGCCAGGATTGGGAGGTTAGGTTTTGCCTCTTTTTTTTTTTTTTAAGGGAAAGAGAAATTGATGAATCTCACTTCTGTAGGCTTCAAAAAGTTGAATACGTAATGATATGGAATCTTAAATATTTATTTTCAGTTCCTTACTTTGATCTTTTCTCCAGATTCTATCAACCTCTCCAGCTCCTCCAGACTCCCCCATATGCAAACTGACAGCTTTGTTTCAATCCTTATCACAGTTCCATTTCTGCCTAGCAGTCCAGTCAAAATCATTTGCAAAGACGGCCTGAGTTCCTGGGGGATCAGTTTCTGGGGTCATTTTCTCTCCTTCAAAGTCAAAATGTGACTATTTCCGATGATCCCCAAGAAGACAAATCCAGGCTGATTTTCATACTTTCCACCCAGGAGTCCCTCTCTTCTGGCTGACAGTGGGGTTCAGGACATGCTACCCCAAATTATGCACCTTGGGAAAATTGCAAAATCTGACCATAAAAATTGGAGAGAATTTCCCTCATGCCATGTCTCCTGAAGCAGGCCTAATAACGTAGCTGACCTTCCCTGAAATAGTCCTGGAATGAGTCTTTATTCCAGAGGTGCCCTATGGGACACAGGGACATAGGATAGAATCTGAACAAATGGGCCTTGCTAAGGTCCCTCCAGTTTATTCCCATTAGATCCCATCCCCTTGGTCCAATCATGTTTCTCCACAAGGATCCACTTCTTCATCAGACTTAGCATAACATTTACACAAGTTGTTTTTCTCTGTGTTTTCATTCCTGAAAGCTCCATATAAAGTGTCACATAAAACTTGAATTAACAGTGGCTCACGCCTGTAATCCCAGCACTTTGGAAGGCCGAGGCGGGTGGATCATGAGGTCAGAAGATCGAGACCATCCTGGTTAACACGGTGAAATCCCGTCTCTACTAAAAATACAAAAAAATAGCCGGGCGTGGTGGCGGTGTCTGTAATCCCAGCTACTTGGGAGGCTGAGGCAGGAGAATGGCGTGAACCCAGGAGGCGGAGCTTGCAGTGAGTCGAGATTGCGCCACTTCACTCCAGCCTGGGCGACAGAGCGAGACTCTGTCTCAAAAAAAAAAAAAAAAAAAAAAAAAAAAAAAAACTTGAATTAAATAAATGTGTCTGCTTTCCCTTGTTAATCTGTCTTTTGTTATAGGAGTCTCAGCCATGATCCTTGCAATGGGTGAGGAAATCATTCTTCTTTCCCCTACCCTGATAGTCTCCATGGCTACATTTCCTTCCTTCCTTCCTTCCTTCCTTCCTTCCTTCCTTTCTCTCTCTCTCTCTCTCTCTCTCTTTTGAGACAGAGTTTTGCTCTTGTCGCCAGGCTGGAGTGCGGTGGTGCAATCTTGGCTCACTGCAACCTCTGCCTACCGGGTTCAAACGATTCTCCTGCTCCAGCCTCCCGAGTACCTGGGATTGCAGGTGCATGCCACCATGCCTGGCTAATTCTTGTATTTTTAGTACAGACGGGGTTTCACCATGTTAGCTAGGCTGGTCTCGAACTCCTGACCTCAGGTGATCCATCCGCCTCGGCCTCCTGAAGTGCTGGGATTACAGGCGTGAGCCACTGCACCTGGCTCATCTCTTTATGGCATGCCCAGTTCTGGGGTTATGCTCCAGAGTGTGGAACTAGTTGAACTAGTAGAGTTCAGCTTGATTATGTCCCTGCAGTAAGAGGTGAGGCACATCCCACATCAGGCACCGGGAGAGACCTTCAGTACCAGCAGCTACATGGAGCAAACCATGCCCAGCAGCAAGTGTGTTGCAGTCCCACAGAGAGCAGTGCTTCCCAGAAGTGGCTCTGAAATCTTCAAGTGGCCTAAAAAACCCAATTCTTTTTTAAGGATGTAAGTTATAGATGATCTGATAAGGCCTACTTAGAAAGCCAGTATTCTGGAAAGAGGCTCACACCTGTAATTTTCAGAAAATCTAATAAATGATGATGCATAGCTCTTAAATATTTATATAAGAAGGCAGGAGAGAACCTGCCAGCTTCCTCAGCTAGAGGCAACATCTTTTATGCCAAATATGAATCATCATATAGTATTCTTTCTCAAAGGGACATGGTACTAGTCATAAATCAGTGTACTCGAGTGATCCAGACACTTTTATCAGTTTATAATCTCTTTTTCCTGCGGTTGTTGCGAAACTGTTTTCATTTTACTTGCAAAAGGTTCTGCCTGACGCAGCACAGCTGTGCACCCCTCTCCCGCTTTCAGCCACCCTTGCATTTTCAAGTCAAAAAGGATTAGGCTCATCAGACCAATACCATAGAAGGAAATTATAATGAATCTAGTACAGTGCATTAAAGACCAACACAGCATGATGGTTAGGAGCCAGACTCAGTGGTCCAACTGACCTACATTTCAGGTCTAGCTCCATCAATTACTAAATGTGCCAGTTGACCGTGAGTCTCTAAGTAAATCACTCTCTGCATCAGCTTCCTCCACTGGAAAATGGAGATAATAATAAGAAAGTGCATGGAAATAGTGAGTATTCTCTAAACGTTAGCATTTATTATCACATCTAGAAACCCATCCATTTATGAAACCAGCTCTACAGACTCAATGCTCTTAGAAAGAATGTTCATGTCAAACAAGAAGACAAATACCAGGCCACTCTTGGCTTAAACTCAGCAGCATAAAAACAAAACTGAACTACATTCATACTGCTTTTGACCTAGTTAAGCTTTGAGGATCTTGAAAGAGAGAGAGAGGAATAGAAAGGGAACTGGTTTCTCTTTGAAGGGTTTGCTTAGTCGATTTAGATCAAGTTAGAGTTGACACCTGAGCAGGTTTCTACAGGCAGGTAGGTCAGGGTTTCTCAGTCTTGGCACCATTGGCATTTGGGGCCAAATAATTCCTTGTTGTCAGGGGCTGTCCTGTGTGTTGGTGGACATTTAGTAGCATCCCAAGTTGTGACAACTAAAAATGTCTCCAGATAGATAATTATAAAATGTCTCTGGGGGATAAAATTGCCCCCAGTTGAAAACCACTGGAGGATATTAGGTTGATAGATTCATAGATAGATATGGATATAGATATGAATATGGATGAAGGTGTAGGGACAGACACAGGTGTAAATGCTTGGCAGATGGTTATCAGTGGGTACAGTGCTCACCTTCTTGAATGCTCTACCATGCATCCATAGTTATCTTCTAAGACACAAGCCTGATCGCATTGCTTGGCTGCTTCAAAGCCTTTACTTAGCTCCCTCTGCCTACCAAATTGTTTAAAGTATTTAATATTAAATGTGATGTTGTCCACAACTCGACCCCTTCTCATTTCAGATCCAATTCCCCATTTTCCCCACTATGTTGTTCTTCACCCAAACCTTCCAATACACAGACACATGCACACACTACACACATACAGACACACACACACAGACACACACATCATGCACACATACCCACATGTACAGACACACTGGTTTTCTGACAGTTTTACAAACACATCATGTGCTTTTGCACCTTCATTTTTGTTCTGTGTCTGTCTTGTCCATC
This sequence comes from Homo sapiens, assembly GCF_000001405.40. Lineage (NCBI taxonomy): Eukaryota > Metazoa > Chordata > Mammalia > Primates > Hominidae > Homo > Homo sapiens. The sequence continues at coordinate 6,913,993 of NC_000010.11, forward strand.
CCTACTCCTCCACGTCTCAGCCTAGAGAACCTCTGTCCCAGTTTTAAGGCAAGCCCAAATGTGATCTCCTCTGGAAAACCTTCCTGGATGCCACCTCATGGGCGGATTTAATCCCTGTCACCTGCAGTCACCTGATCCTCTACCTATGGCCCTCCCAGCCCTCTTCATCATAGCTCACAGAGTCTCTATTTGTCTCCTCTGTAATTAAAGACTGCATTCTTTTCATGGCTATAGTAACATGGTCCCTGCTGGCTCATAGCGGGCACTTGATGGGGGTTTGCTGAATTGAGCATGTACGTTTCTCCAGCTTTAAAGTTTAAAGCGCCACTCCTTCCCAGAGATTCCACAAATACTGACCGAGCTCCTCCAGTGGACACAGTACCACATGGGTGCAGGCAAGACTATGTAGCCCACGGGGAATAAGACAAATACGAAAGGAGAACGTGTAATGTGATAGATGTAGAACCGGTGCTCCAGGTGGCTGAAAATACGGTGCTGTGGAGTTGAGGGTGTGAAGAGAACATCTGCTTCATGGAGAAGGTGGAGTGTGAATAGCAGGTAGATCTATAGAGTTGGGAATGATAGAAAAGAGACTTCCAAGCCTCAGATGGGGAAATTTCTAGAGGTAATTAGGGCACAATAAATAGACCATTTTGGCTGAAAGTGAAGGTTGGTATACAGGAAAAGTAGGAGAAGAACCAGAATACTAGGGACAGGGTGTCTAGTTGAAGGATCTTTTCTCCAAAGTGCTACTGGTTGCAAGAAAGAGAAACTCTCTTGAGCTATGTAAGCAAGTGTGGAGATGGGAAAGGGAGGCAGAGCATAGAAGGAGTACTGAGTGTATTCAGACACTGAGGGAAAAAGGACATGCGAAGATATGGAATACTGAAAATCTCTTGGGGCTAAGCAGCTAACCTCTTAGTCAATCTAGATGTGTCTATCAGTCAGTTTGTCCACCATCTCTCTGTCTAAGACCATATAGTCTCCATCCCTCTGTATATTTTGCTCCATCATCCTCTCTACACTCCAGCCACAGAGTAAATAGCTGTGAGATTATACTGCCTGGGCTTTTATTCTAGTATCTTAGCTGCATGACCTTGGACAAGTTTTAAAACTTTTTAAACTCTTAGTTCCTCATCTGTTGGGTGGTCACAGTAATTTTCTTTCTTTAGATGATAGATAGATAGATGGATAGACAGACATATATCTGGATGGCGGTTATAAAAATTAAATAACACATGTCAAACACTTCACATAGCACCTGCCGTGATGAATGCTCAATAAACAGTGGCCATCACTGTTATTACTACTCAGGATTTCTCTGCTTCCATGCAACTTAAGTGTGCATATGGCTTCAACTTGCCAAGGTACCAGTCCTGATAAAGGATCTTTCAGCTCAATCTCCTGACCTGTTTCTGTGTCCTTTGCTCAATTTCTTGAGGGGAAAGAGACAGAGAGAAGAGAGAGGAGAGAGATGAGAGAGAGAGAGAGAGACAGAGAGAGAGAGAGAGAGACAGAGAGAGAGAGAGACAGAGAGAGAGAGAGAGAGAGAGAATCTGGTCACAGGCTACATGGGTGGGTTAAGTGTCCCCTAATGGGCTGTAGCCAGGAACGATGACTCTCGTGGCATGCAGAGCTTCAAGAAGTTGAGGCAGGTGATGGATTTAGATGAGATTGGATATGTAGGGCAGGCCCTGAATGCAAGACGAAGAGAACAGAGGCAAGTTGAGAGGAGTCTGGAGGGCCAGTGAGAGTTGAAAGAGGTACACTTAGCAGGGAAGGGCCCCCAGCTCTGCATGAATGGAAAAATGATAGCTCACCACTTTACCAACTGCAGACATCAACAGTAGACCCATCAGGATATCCCAGAATGGAACTTGGGCCAGCTCGGAAGACAAAACCCAGCACACACCCAAAGACCACACGAGGGCAAGTGCTTTCTTCCCCACTCCACCTTCTTCCAAGTCCTAGACAATATCTCAGGGCCAAATAGGAGGGACAGAATGGAAAGAATGAGAAAGTAGCCCCAAATGGCTGAGTTACACCTGTAGACCTTGTTTAACTCCTTGAATCAAGCCAAATGAGAAAAATTATGTTGTATATTCATTTTCTCTTCTTTCTAGTAGGCAGAAACTCATAGAGCAGCTTCAAAAGAGGAAGAAACTACATTTTCTTGGTACATCCAAAGGTTGCGACTTTGTAACCTTGTTCCTTTACAGGAGGTGTATCTACCAAATTTTAAGAGCTGTCTTCGAAGATTCCCATCTTAAGGACAGAGACCATGTCACAAATCTATCCATCAAAGTTGAAAAAACACCAGTTTTGCTAAGTCCAAGATCACTGGGACCAAACCTGGATGCCTGCTTACTAGATCTGTGAAACTGGGCAGCTCCTTTAATTTCTCTTACCTTCCACTTCTCTTTCTGTAAAGTGGGCCTAGTAATCTCGGTCCTACCCTCCATTGAAGGCATTTCAGAAAATCACATGAGATAATGTAAAGTAAATCTGCTTTCAAAGTCATATAGAATAAAAGCTTGAATTATTATGAGAGTGCCTGGCAGACGGTGGGTGCTAAAAAGTATGCAATAGTAAGTACGAAATTACTGAGCAATTTATTTCTATGCAATTTAATGGAATGTCATTTTTCCTATAGATGAAGTGTATGGAGATTTGAAGAAGAAAGAAGACACTGTTTCCTCATTTTAGTACCTGAAGCCCTATGTATAATGGCAAAGCTTTACATATTAGAGTTTCCTAGACATGCAGGATGATTTCATCTAGTTCCTCATTTTCAAGGTCAAGACCCTGTGTCTCAGTGTGGTTTCAAGACCAATGCCAGGCATAAGGTTTCTGTTTCCTGGCCCAGTGACCTCGCAACCATACCACGATGTCATTTTTTAAATGTCTTACTATAAGTAAAATTACAACAATAAGCAATTGACATATGACTTCACAGATTCCAAAATGCATTTCCATGTGTGATTTCACTTGATCCTTTAAAATGTAGGGGGAAGAAGTTATGACCCACACTTCATCACCGGAGAGAAAACCAAAGTTTGGGTACATAAGATAACATGTTTCAGGGAACGACAAGGTGCATTTTAAGTCTCTCTTTCCAGTGCTCATATGATATCTAAAAGAGCTACAATTTCCACAAATGGAGCAGAAGACAATAGTCACTTCACAGTGCACATTAACAACACACATCAAAACAAGGAGATGAAGCAAGATTTCTGGATCCGAAAAAAAAAAAAAAAACAAGTGTGACGTCATGGTTTTAGAGGAACAAAGCTGAAGGCAATGGAAGCTGCAAGTGCGTGCTGATTTCACTCAGAGGCTCGGATGCTTTCACAAGTTCATTTAAAAAATGAACATGGCTTGGATCACCAACAAACCACACCAGCCATGTGATCCAATTTGGTACATATCGTCCCTCGGAGTGAAATGCTGCTATGTTGACAGTGTTTAACCCTAATTTCACTGCAAAGGAGAATTTGTGCTGTTTAAAGGCAAATTTCTTTCTTTAATCAGGGGACAAACCTTAAGGCCAATACAGTGGCAATGCCAAGGCCAAAGCAGGAGGTTCCTAAAAAATATGGAAGACTGAAGGAGGGCTCAGTGAGAGGCAGAGTTCGCTGGGGACACGGCACTAGACCCTGCTTCTTTTGCTATCTGCCTCTGGGGACCCTGAAAAGTAGTGTTTTAGTGTTTCCCAATACCTTTTGAGATGGATTCATTTGTTACCCATTCGGTGAACATTACTGAGCATCTATTGGTTTTATAAAATAATTGGGAACAGGATGAACTTACATTCTAGTGTGTGTGTTGGGGGCAGAGATACAAACAGATAAAAGCAGAAACCATTTCAGAATGTGCAAAGGGCTAGGAAGGAAATAAACATCAATGACAATGACAGGGACAAGGTCAGGGAGGGATTCTCTGTGGAATAATAGCAAAACTGAGGCCTGAACGACTAGACGTCAGACATGAAAGGAGGTAGTACAAGACCGTTCTAAGTAGAGGGAATAGACGGGCAGGAAGGAGCTAAGCCAATGTGGATGAAGTGTAGGGGATGTAAACCTGAAACGTCTGGGACAGGTCTCAAACAATTTAGAAAGTGTATTTTGCCAAGATTAAGGGCACGGCCATGACACAGCCTCAGGAGGGCCTGACGACACGTCCCCAAGGTGGTTGAGCACAGCTTGGGTATAAACGGAGAAAATCAAAAGCTCTGTTTGGAATGTGTTAAATTTAAGTCACTCAGTCAATATCTACACAGTAGACAGTTGAATATGCAAATCTGGAGCATTGAGGTAAGTTTAGGGTCAGAAATGTAAGTCTGGGACTCAACATGTGGAAGGCATTTAAAGCCATGAGAAGGGATGAGTGCACCTAACGGGAAGGTGCAGGTAGAGAAGAGAAGGTGGCCAGACTGGAGCCTGTTACCCCGTGACATTTATGTCACGTACCTGAGGAAGACGCAGCAAAGAGAACCGAGAGGACCCTTGATGAAGTAGGAGGAAAACCAGCAGGGGGTGCTGTTGGGGAAGGCGGGCACAACTGTATTGTGTGCTACTGAAATGCTGAGTGTGATTGGGGTTGTAGGCAAGGAGGTCATTGCAAAATATTTATTTTAAGCAAATTGTAAAGTAGCTCAATTGTTAGCTCTATGTAACAAATGCTTGCTGAATAAAGGGAGGAGTAGAAGGATGGAGGGATGAATACAGGCAAGGCCATGAGAAGACAAAATTTCCCAGTCCAGCTCTTGGTTCTCTGATGGGCTAACTGCTTGGCCTTGGACTCACTTAGCACATGAGTTTCTTATCTCTGAAAATGCTTTAACACAGCATATTAGCTCGGTTCTCCAGAGAACAGAGCCTACAGGATGTGTGTTAATATACGAAGAGATTTAATTATAAGGAATCGGCTCACATGATTATAAAGTCTGGGAAGTCCCAAGATCACTAGGCAGAGCGGGCAGGTTGGAGACACAGGAGAGCTGAGGGTTTAGTTCCAGCCCAAAGGCCAGCAGGCTTGAGACTCAGGAAGGGCCAGTGTTTCAGTTTGAGTCTGAAGGGAAGAAAAAAACCCATATCCCAGTCGGAAGGCTATCAAGCAGGAGGAACTCCTTTAATAGGAGAAAGGTAAACCTTTTTGTTCTATTCAGGCCTTCAGTGGACTAGATGAGGCCCACCCATATTAGGAAGGCAATTGGCTTTACTCTGTCTGTTGATTTAAATCCCAAAACAGACACACCTAGAATAATGTTTGACCAGCTATCTGGGCAACCCATGGCCCAGTTAAGTTGACACATCAGTTAGCCATTACACACAGGCTGGAGGGCTCCTTGTCCAGGATATCTTAAAATACGTTCTTGGGGTTAAAGTGTGGGCTTGTTTGCTTTATAGAGTCCCCAACACTTAATAGAGTTTGTGATTCTAGGATTTACAGGATATAAGCAAGTGAAATAAATACTTTTTAAGAACTAATTCAGGCTGGGCACAGTGGCTCATGCCTGTAATCCCAGCACTTTGGGAGGCCAAGGCAGGCAGATCACTTGAGGCCAGGAGTTTGAGAGCAGCCTGGCCAACATGGTGGAACCCTGTCACTACTAAAAATACAAAAATTATCTGGACACGGACGTGCGCCTGTAATCCCAGCTACTCGGGAGACTGAGGCACGAGAATCGCTTGAACCCAGGAGGCAGACGTTGCAGTGAGCCGAGATCATGCTACTGCACTCCAGCCTGGGTGACAGAGTAAGTCTCTGTCTGAATTAAAAAAAAAAAAGAAAAAAAAAGAACTAATTTAAAAATCATATATTCTTTGTTGCAATATTATCATGGAATATACTTACAGACAGACAGGTCCTATGCTGGGAAGTACAAGGTGGTGTTTAAATGTTCTCATTTGAAAAGTCAGGATGGTTAGAGCCCCAGGAGTCTAACTGATATGCAGGGGTGTGATTTTTTGGGGGGGTTTCTCCTTTTCCCACCATGGATCTGTTGAAGTGGATCATCTTATTTCACCCGAAGGATCGTTGGAAAGAGCTGGGTCGCAGGCTTAGAGGATGGCTCTTGAGCTGTTTGTCCCCTGACTTCCATACGCTCCCCTTCTGTGCCCCGTATTCTCCCTATGTGTCTCGACTCGGAGACATCGCACCTGCGCAGATGCTGACAGACGCCCATAGATGGCAGCAGCCCTCTGAAGCAACAGCGGAGGTAACGTGGGCGTTCGCCTTAGGAGCCGGGGCAGGGTGCAGAGCTAGGGTAGTGGGTGAATGTTCACACAAGCTGTGCACTTTCCTTTCCAAAGCAAAAAAGCGACTCTGTCCTGCCACACGTTAGAATATTTGTTATTTTAAATAGAGCTAATACTCAAGATGGGAGGGAACAAAGGCAGCAACTCCCAGCCTCTTAAACTTCGGGTTTACATACCTTCAAAAACAAGTTGTACTCTTTGTCTGCGATTGTTGCTTCTAACATATGTTGGGCTCTTATCGTTTCCCAGCAGATGCAGGCACAAGGACGAAACTTGCTCACTCTCCCTATAATCAGTTAAGAACAGATGTCCAAATAGATATATCTCCCCCTAAACCTTAAGTAAAGATAATGTATGCAGAGTAAACAGAAAAGTGGGCACATTAGCCCAAATACAGATGGCTTCGCCGGATAGAGGTGTGTTGCAGAAGTCATTAAACATTAAGGTTCAATAGCGTCACATCAAAATACGGTATTTTACAAGAAAAATAGCTGATACCAGTGCTATTGGGCTTGTCTTTCCACATTCAATGTTGCTGTCTCTGAATGCCTCTGCAGGCAGCAAGAACTAATGGGACGTCTTGGAAAACTCAGCCTGTTCTATGGGGATACCCGGCAACTGTCCAGGCCGTTTGTTGAAGCATTCTGCTGACTGCAGCAAGCCAGAAAATTAGAGCAAGTGTTTTTCACCTAAAGCTAGGTTCCAGAAAAAAAAACAAAAAAACAAAGAGGCCGGGCACAGTGGCTCAGGCCTGTAACCCCAGCACTTTGGGAGGCTGAGGCGGGCGGATCACGAGGTCAGTAGATTGAGACCATTCTGGCTAACATGGTGAAACCCAGTCTCTACTAAAAATACAAAAAATTAGCCGGGTGTGGTGGCACGCGACTGTAGTCCTACCTACTGGGGAGGCTGAGGCAGGAGAATCGCTTGAACCCGGGAGGCGGAAGTTGCAGTGAGCCGAGATCGCGCCACTGCACTCCCGCCTGAGCAACAGAGGGAGACTCTGTCTCAGAAAACAAAACAAAACGAAAAAACCTTTGCAGGGGATCTTGGGTCAAAGATCAGCAGTCTTCTAAATGCCTCCGCCCTGTAATATGCATGGTCGGCCTCCCAATTCTGAGTTAAAAAATAATTTTGTTTGTTTGTTTGTTTGTTTTTTAAAAAAACAACCTAAGTTAGGCTGCCATGCACCATTCTCTAAACTCTTTGTGTATTTCTCCTAAATATTTTTTATTTATTTTTGAATAGCTAATTCACACACATAGTTTAAAAAATTAAAAATGTATTTAAAGGAATACAGTGAAAAGGCTCTTACAAATGCCTGCTACTCATCTACACGTTACCATTGTCATGAATTTTTTATGTATCCTTTCAGAGTAGGAAGGCATACAAATAAAAGTAAATAAACAACCGTATTTTTTTTTCCTTTTTAACACAAAAAAGAGAAACTCTGTTCACACTATTCCACCTCTTGCTTTTTAAAATAACACTATAGGTTGGAGAGCTTTCCGTATCAACCTATAGAAAGCTCTCTTATTCTGGTTTACAGCTGTGTGATAGCCCATTACTTGGGTAAATCATATACCGTATTTTATGAACTAGTTCTTTATTACTAGATACTTAGATTATTTCCTGTCTGCAATTACAGACAGTGCTGTAACTAATAATCTCAAAATATATCTTTTCAATATGTGCCCGGACATCTATGTGATAAATGGCCAGAAGTGTAACTGTTGGGTCTAGGAGCAGATGATGGTCATTTTAATGCTTTTCATCTGAATCTTGCACATGTTGTGTTGAGTTTATTCCTATGTATTTTATCTCTGGGTTGCTGTTGTAAATGGGTTCTTTGCTTCCATTATATCTTCTAACGGGCTACTGTTAATATATATGAAAGCTATTGATTTCTGTGTAATAATTTTATACCTTATTCCTTTAGTATATTCTCTTATAGTTTTTAAAATTGATCAATGAGTTGACTTCAGTTTTCCAAATATTTAGTTTTATTGTCATCTGCAGATAGTAATGGTTTTACATTTTCTGTTCCACTTTTAAATCTCAATTTTTTCAACAAATTTTATATATAATTCTACAGTGAAATATTAAATAATAATAACATTAGTGGGCATTCCTGATTTCATCCTGATATTTAATGGAAATGTCTCTAGTACTGGCTTCTGAATTGAGATACCAATATTTTATTATATTAAAGAAGTTTTATATTTATTATATAAAGTATTATATTAAAGTGTTCATGTATTTCTACTTTATTATTTTCATCAAGAATTTATTGAAATTTTTTAAATGCCTTTGAGAGACTATGTAGATAGTGATGTGATTTTTCTATTAAGATGACAAATTATATCGATTTCCTAATACTGAATCAGCTTTGAAATTCTAGCCTTAGCCCTACTTGATTAGAATTCTTTTAATGTGTTGCTGAATTCTGTTTGTTCACGTTTATTTAGAGTTTTGGAATCACTATTCATAAGTGAGATTTGTTGATAGGTTGGTTTTCTTAAATTTCATAACATTTGGGTATTAATATAATTACTTTAAAATTTTTCCAGCAATAGTATTTATCTCCTTCAGGTTTTCAAATCATTTCCGGAGATTTGAGGGAAGTAGTCTCATTCATTTAATCATCTCTGTTATTTTGGTTATATTCCCTTTTCCATTTCTTTTTTAAATTTTATATTGTATGTTTACCCTTTGCAAAAAGTAGGTTTTTCAGCTTATATGTTTTTCTCATAAACGGTTTATAGATTTATTTATTAGGGCTACTGTTCCTCTATTTTCTAACTCATTAAATTCTGCTTTTATCTTCATTCAAGGCTTGTGTTGTAGTTCTTTTTCTAACATTTTGGATAAGATAGAAATGTGTTTGTTTTCCCTCATTTTTTGGCATATGTTCTTGTTGCTGTTATGAGGAGGTTATTGTGCATGGCTTTAGCTGTGCTGGATACATCCTCCCCTGTCATGTTTTTATTCTAGTTATGTTCTAGATCAGTGCTATGCAGTAGAACTTTCTGGGATAAGGGGAATGTCACTGGCCATCTGTGGGTATTGAGAACTTGAAATGCGGCTGGTATTTGTGAGGTGAGGAACTTAATTTTTAATTTGACTTTTAAATTTAATTTTAAATAGCTACACACGGGCCAAGCATGGTGGCTCATGCCTGGAATCCCAGCACTTTGGGAGGCCAAGGCAGGCAGGTCACAAAGTCAAGAGATCGAGACCATCTTGGCCAACATGGTGAAACCCCGTCTCTACTAAAAATATGAAAATTAGCTGGGCGTGGTGGTGCGCGCCTATAGTCCCAGCTACTTGGGAGGCTGAGGCAAGAGAATCGCTTGAACCTGGGAGGTGGAGGTTGCAGTGAGCTGAAATCACGCCACTGCACTCCAGCCTGGTGACAGAGTGAGACTCCGTCAAAAAAAAAAAAAAAAAAAAAAAAAGCCACACATGGCTCATGGCAACCTCATTGGGTGGTGTGTAGCTAGACATTTTCCAATTTTCATTTGTATTTCTCCTTTTATCCAATAATTACTCAAGATATGGGGCTTTTTTTTTTTTAGCATGTCACTAATTAGGAGATAGAGTTTTAAAATATACATATATTTTAAATATATATATAAATATTTTAAATATAAATATAAATATTTTAAATATAAATATTATATATATTTTAAAGGTTGAAAGAACTTTTAGTTATCCAATTTCATTAACTACTAGTCTTACTGCATTGTGATCAGAGAAAACTGCCTGTATTCTTTGTAGTTTGGGGGCATTATTTAGGATATCTTTGTGGCCCAATGTATACTGTATGTGGGTATACAATGTGTACTGAGAGCACTGGGGCCACTTTGAAAGGGGTTTATTCAGTGTCTTCAGGATAGAATGTTAGATACATATTGATCAATCATGTAATGTTATTTAGAACTACTGTATCCATATTTTCTTTTGTACTTGAACTGTCATGACTGACAGAGATAAATTAAGATTTCCTTCTACCAGTTTGCTTCGATTTCTTGTGTCTCCTTTAATCCTGCTTCATGACTGTGGCTGTTATTTCATATTTAGAGCAGGGCTAATGTGTTTTCATTATGACTCACACAAGTTGGCATTACAAAGTGCCCTTGTCCGTCTTGTTCTGGCCTGAACTCCATGCTGTCTGATATGAAAGTTTGTGATCATTTTCTTCTCAATTGCATTTGACTAGCGTATCTCTATCTGTTATTTTATATTTATATACTTTTATTTCCATGATTTTGAAGCTCTGTTTTAGGAATGCTGTTTTCATTCAGCATCGAGTTGTGTTTGGTTTTGATCCAACCTGAAATCCGTTTGTATTAATAGATAAGTTAAACTCATTTAACTTGTTAATGTGATAGATATGTCAAGCTTTAGTTCTACCTTTTATGTTTATGTGTTCGTGATACTTAAAGGTCTTTTACTATGCACTCCATGAATAGTACTTTCATCACAGAGTTAAAAAATATTTTTGTTTAATGGTTGATTACCCTTACAATTGCAAATTTATGCATTATCACCAGCACTCTCTTTAGTTCATAGCTATTATCTCCTTATCTCCTCCTCCCTACTCTCCATGACCCAATTTCATTTAATAGTATTACCTTTCTTGGTACTTAACTATGTAGTATGAAATATGCTACTGCTTCTATTTCCTGGTTTGTGAGTTTTAAATGATACCTTTGATATCTAGCTTTATAGATGAAGCAATTAGCAAACCTATCTACTCATACTCTTTCCCTCTTCCTCTCCTACGTTTATCACTCATAGCATTTATACCTTGTTTGGGCATATACCATTGGTATTTTATCCTGCCTCACTGATCCCCCACCATTTCAGTCTTATTTGTACAGTTAAACATATTCATGCACTACTATTAGTCCTTTTGCTATACTTTCCTCAGTTTCTTAGTCATCTCTTAGTTGAAGAAACCTCATTCTTCAGCAGTTATCCCAACATAGGCTTATAGGAAAAATATAATCTGAGGTTTGCAGATCGAAACTCTTTTTTGGCATTGGTTATACTATAAAGAGAGCTTGGCCTCATGAAAATCCTTGGCCCACAATTTATTTTCATCTATGTCTTATAAGCATTGTTTCTCGGTCTTCATGTTGCTCTGGAAACATCTAAAGCCAGCCCTATTTGTTCCCTTGTTTTAGTGACAGTATTTTTACCTGGCTTCCCAAAGATGTCTCCTTTCCTTTTTCTAGTTCAACAATTTCACAAAATTATATTTTGATGCTGACAATTTGCAGTGAGTATTTTCTGGCTCATAGTATGCCTGTTCAGCATGCAGATTTGTTTCATTTTATTTAACTTATGCCTTGCCTATTTGTTCTATTTCACTCATCTTTGAAAATTCTGGCCGGGAGCAGTGGCTCACACCTGTAATCCAGCACTTTGGGAGGCCAAGGAGGGTGGATCACTTGAAGTCAGGAGTTTGAGACCAGCCTAGTCAACATGGCGAAACCACCTCTACTAAAAATACAAATATTAGCCAGGTGTGGTGGCACGCACCTGTAATCCCAGCTACTTAGGAGGCAGAGTCAGGAGAATCACTTGAACCCAGGGGGCAGAGGTTGCAGTGAGCTGAGATGGCGCCACTGCACTCCAGCCTGGGTGACAGAGCGAGACTCTGTGTCAAAAAAAAAGAAAGGAAGGAAGGAAAGAAGGAAGGAAGGAAGGAAAGAAGAAAGAAAGAAAGAAAGAAAGAGAAAGAAAGAAAGAAAGAAAGAAAGAAAGAAAGAAAGAAAGAAAGAAAGAAAGAAAAGAAAGAAAAGAGAGAGAAAGAAAGAAAAAATCCAGTGACATTTATTTTACATCTATCATTTTCTTTCTAGGGCTTTTTCACTATATGTTACTATATTACTTTATTTTTCTCATTTCTATCCTTCAGGACTCTTTGTCTTTTTATCACGCCGTCGATTCTCTCTTGTGACCACTGGATTTCCTTTTCGTTTCTATGACGGTTTCGCTTTTTCTTCTATTTATTTTCTGAGTTCTCCTCATTCCTGTCTTATAACCTGCAGTTGTCTCTCGGCATTCTCCTGGAATTATTACATTTCCACTTTGTGGCATTCCTTCTTAGTAGTAATTGCTTCATTATGCTCCTTAAAATCTGGCAAAATGTTTGGTTGCAGTTCATCTTTGCTCAGTGGCACTGTTTTTAGGAGAATAATCCGTATCAGTTGGAAAGCTTTGCAGATCTTTTCCACATATTTATTCACAATAAATTTTCTTACTGTTTATCATTAAAAACTTGGTTTTTTATGACCCAGCTATTGGCAGACTAGTCCTATAGGCAGAGACAAAGCAGGGCAGTCCTGGCTTCACAGCAAAGGGCTTATTCCTTCACTGCCACAGAAACAGAATGCTCACTGTGAATATTGCTCTTCTGTGTGAGACTGGATTTCCATTTCTGGGGCCATCGTGACTTCTACCACCAGCTTTCCTTGTCCTGGCACAAGATATCCACTGTTGCAAATGAGAAATATAGCTCTTGTACTACCAGACTATCAGTTTTTGCATTTTTATGGATCTTCCTGAATTTTCCTTCTTATGAGTCCACTCATTACTCTCTGAGCTTCTGATTTTTCCTACTCTTTCCTACTGCTCTTCCTTCCATCTGCTTCTGCCTTATTTGGGGCTTTTGAAAGTCCCTACAGGTATTTTGAAGTCAGCATATCATCTGATTTCTAAATTTCATGGACAGTTGAATTTGCAGGACTTAGGAAATTCTTCTAGTTTTTTGTTTGTTTGTCTGCTTGCTTCTTTAGGAGAAGAAGGAGAAAACACTGATGGATATAGTCATGTTCATAAGAAGATCTCTTCCGAGTGTTTGATGCAACCTCTGCTTCCGCTATCCCATCTTCTCACACTCCCCTTTGTGCTAGTTCTTCTCATCTGCATGCAGCTTCTTTCCTGTCATTTGACCATCATGGAGAAGCTCTTTTTTCATGAACATTTTCCTTCTGAAAACCACATATGTCCCACTGTCAGTTTTGCACATCTATTTCATTATCAGACTTGAAAATGTATCCCTCTTATCCATTTCCTTACTTTATCAAAAATGTTGGAAATGAATAACATATGGAATGTACATTAACTTAGTTACCATCATTTTAGTTGTCCATCACCAGTACCTAATCATGATGGTTAGTTCATGGATGAATTTTCAACGAATATGCATGCAACAATGCTAGGTGTGTCAATGATGGTTCCTTGACTTAAATGAAGTATATGGTCTGCTTAAATCACCTGCCTTTTTCTGTGATCAACTAATTTAAATTAAGAAATGAAATAAAAAATTATAGCAGGGAGCCTTGAAGGTAGGTTGAAAACTGTCTGCTGAGTCAGTAGCTCTATTTTTATCCAAACAGACAAGAAGACAGCAAGCCCCTTGACTTGTGGTTTCCGTTCTCTCATTTCCTGTGTGCACCCACATGAACCATGTGCCCTCCCTGACTCCCTGCCTCCACGTCTAGAGAAGGAGGCGTGGGTCTTCTCTAATTCCCCTTGTGTGCTTGACTTGTTCCCCACCACCCAAGGGCTAAGGCTTAGGCACTGCGTTGAAAACTTCAGCACAGCAGGGAACCTCAGCCACTCTGTCTTCTATCCATCCTCCCTCATGTCTTCTCTGTACTCCTGTCTCTATCAGTTGGCACCTGGGCCTCCGCCTGCCTTCACCTCCTTGTCTCCATCCTTGCAATGAATGCCGTAGTATGACCACCTCTTCTTCTCCAGTGTAACTTCACTCTGGCACTATTTTCTGAAACTTGTGGACCCTCCATGCCACAGCTACCCTAAACCCACTCTCCTGAGAAGCCCCAGTTCCCAGAACGGAAGTCCAGGTCGGCCCTCGGCCGCCACACTTCCCTAAACAGCAGCTGCCTAAGAGTCTGTGAACCTGCACAATTTTCACTAGCAGTGTCTCAACAATTAGCCGGTGCCTCACAAGTGGGGCAGATGGTATAGCCAGGAATGAGAGTTTCATGTTTCTTCTGATTCACATGCATTCCTATCTAAAGGCTGTTTCCTTTTAGAGACAAACTAATTTTTTCTCTTTCGTCCTTTGCCTGGGCTTTATGTTTACTTCTACAAGCTGGCACTTCCGATGGTTTCTAGAGAGCTCATTGGTGCTCTCTCTCTCTCTAACACACACACACACACACACACACACACACACACACACACTATGTACACACCTCACAGGAAATGGAAACTTGTTCCCATTATGGGTCCTGAAACAAAGCTCTGTGGATATGCATGTGCTACTTAGATTTTCTATCCCAGGAAATGAGTTTAAATACCTACCTCCCCAACAAATTTTTTTTTCAGAGACAACAGACCTCGGAAGACAAGTGGAAGTTGAAACTCTCCTTGAATGCGGTTCTTGGGAGTTGGAAATCTCCATTGCCGTTGCTTCCCCATGGAAGGCTTTGCAGTGCTAAATGGCTTATCTCCATGACAACCAGAAGAGCTGGTTGTTGTTTTTTTTTTTTTTTTTTTCTGCTGGACATTTTTTTCTAGATTTTACTTCATATTTAAAATAATTAAAAGTGTTTATCTCAGTACACCACAACCAGTCATTTACTGGGCCAGTGTCAGGAGGCAGTTCACATCCGTTTGGGGTCCACTCAAACCACCTCCATGCTGTCGGCCTTCAAAGTTTCCAAGAGGTTTGGTTTCTCTTTGAAATCTGGCTTCTCACTTGCGCACTGTATAACTTTTAAACAGATTAATTTTTTTAGTTCCTTATATATAAGTTTTCTGCATGTAAAAATTTAAGATAATTTTATGTCAAGAAGAGCAGAGAAGATGTATTAGATAAAGTGTGAGAGACTGCCTGATAGAGCTGAACACATGGGAAGCATACAAAATATTCATCTCTCTGCTTATTCGTTTCCTTAGCAGAATATCTGGCTGCAGCTTACTGTAGCCATCCTGTCATCAGTTCCCAAACGGGAGGAATGCCATGGTCTCTTGACAGAGGCTCTCTTGCACTGTTGGAGGCAAGGGCCTGCTGTCCTGTCAGGTTGGCCCATTTATCCAGTTACTCGTGAAATATCTTGTTCTCTCAGAGAATCAACCGGCGGCTGTGTGCTGACTTCACAAAGAAAAATCCATTCTCTCACCAAGTAGTTGTCAAGCATAATAAAGAAAAACTGGCAGAATAATTGGGGTGGTTGCTGAGTCTAACTCAATATCGTATGAAAGAAAATATATGGAACAGTGGTGTTTAAAGAGAACTGCACACCTCTGTTTGTATGGCAGGCTCAAACACAGCCAGTCAGACGTATGTAGAGTCAAAGTGAGGAAGTGGAGGTCATTTAGACTACTGGTAGACCCAGAATTCGAGCCAAAACAGAAGCAGAAAACAGAAATAGATGCTTCAGGATCTGTCTCTCTGCCAAGCCAACCCAGCGATTCTCATCAGAAACCTCAACAAACAATTGGAAGAGAAACAGGTAGAAATTGTGGTTCAATTTTAAGGTATCATTGTGTTTATTTTGAAGCACTTTTTTCTTCAAGATGGAAATCATTTTAGTGTCTTATTTAGTTATAAATGTGATGAATACTTGCTGCAAAAACAATCAGAAGAAACAGTTTTATTGCTTTATTTAGTTAAAATGTGATGTAAAAACAACCAGAGGCTACAAAAAATAGAAAAAAGAAAAGAGAAAAAAGATGAAAGAAGGACAAGAATGAAAGAAAGGAAGAAAAAGATGAGAAGAAAACACGTGAAAGGGGTCATAGTATGCCACCCCAAAATATATTATTTTGGGACATTGATTATTTTGAGCTGTAGATGATCAAGAAACAGCAGATCCAGGAAGATTATTTAGAGCTGAAGATGATTGAGAAATAGCAGATCCAGGAAGAGCTGTCTCCCCACTTTCTATGTATATAAAAGTGGGGCATAAATTTTCTGTAAGAAAAGTACCCCCCAGGTGCCAGGAAGAGGAGAGAATTTTTGTCAGAGATGGGGAGTCGAAGCTGAGATGAATCCATACAAACAAGCCTACTAAAATTATATTTGCCTTCCATTAATTTTCCCTATGTATTTCTTAGTAACTGTCCCATGGTTTGCCTCCCCAAACCCAAACCCCTTTCTCCCTTGACTGTCCATGTCTCCATAATTTATTATTATCTGTTAAAATGATATATAGGTTCTTGTGCCTTTTCACCTCTTTGAATTCTCATTTCTTACATATGAAAGGCCCCATATACACATAAACACATTAGTATCAAATAACATTTGTATGCTTTCCCTCCTATTAACCTGTCTTTTGTCTATTTAATTCTCAGGACCAACCACAGAACCTAACAGGAGAGAGAAAAAGTCTTTCCTCCCCTATGGAAGGAAGGAAGGAGAATAAAAATAAAGCATGATTGGTAATACAGCCACTCAAGAGAAACACTGTCCATTGGCTTTTGATTACTGACCACAGTAATTTATATTCTCCAAAAAAAAACTAGTGAATGTGTTCAGCAATTAGCCCATTGGTGAAGGCATGGAGAGTCATGAGAGCTTGTTCCTTTCATGGAACAGTCTTTAAGTAGAACTATTGCGTACAGTACAAGAGGAGAGTTGTTCCTAGAAGTTAGGTCAGAAGATAGAAGTTAAGGGACAAGATAATAAAGGAATTTATCATCCTAAAGCTTTTGATTTTCTTTCCTCATCTGCTGGATGACACATAACGCAGAATTGGAATGTTCTAGAATGTTCAGAATTTAGAATGGTTCCAAGTTGTCAACCCAATTCTATAAAGACATGTGAGATACATAAGGGTACAGGAATAGATGCCTATTTTCACTGGCATTGTAATGTGTTAAAGTGTGGAAGAAGCTCCAGTTTTTGCACTTGAGTCACTGTGCAGATAGACCTGTCCATTGATATTCTAAGGAAAATGTTACCAATATGGGAGAATGGGCTCTGCTGTATCAGAAGGAGACAACATGGCGTGATGGTTAAGAATTGGACTCTGGGCCAGCCGTGGTGGCTCATGCCTGTAATCCCAGTACCTTAGGAGGCCATGGCAGGCAGATTATCTGAGGCCAGGAGTTCGAGACCAGCCTGGCCAACATGGTGAAAACCCATCTCTACTAAAAATACAAAAAATTAGCCAGGCATGGTGACGGGCACCTATAGTCCCAGCTACTTGGGAAGCTGAGCCACGAGAATCGCTTGAACCTGGGAGGTGGAGGTTGCAGTGAGCCAAGATCATGCCACCGTACCCCAGCCTGGAAACAAGAGCAAGACTCTATCTCAAAAAAAAAAAAAAAAAAAAAAAAGAATTAAACTCTGGAGTCAGATTTCTCAGGTTTATCCTAGCTCTGCCACTAGGCTCTCTGACCTTGAGAAAAAGGTAGCCTTTTAATATATCAATTTGGGCAAACATAAAATAGGGAAAATCGCAATCCATCCCTTTTAATATTAGAAAGTGGTGGCTGTGCAGTGGCTCACACCTGTAATCCGAGCACTTTAGGAGGCTGAGATGGGAGGATGGCTTGAGCTCAGATGTTCAAGACCAGCCTGGGCAACAAAGTGAGACCTTGTCTCTACAAAAAAAAATTAAAAATTAACCAAGTGTGGTGGTGCATGCCTGTGGTCCCAGCTACATGGGAGGCTGAGCCAGGAGGATTGTTTGAGCCCCAAAGGTGAAGGCTGCAGTGAGCCATGATCAAGCCATTGCACTCCAGCCTGGGCAACAGAGTGAGACCCTGTCAAAAAAAAAAAAAAAAAAAAAGAATATGGTGTAAGTAAATTAACATAAAACACTCAAAACCATGCCTGGCACATGGTAAGTCCCATATAAATGTTAGTTATTCTTAACTCTGTCCTCACCATCTTTGCATCAAGGTTGGAAGAATTATTAACCACTTTCTGTCTCGCTAAGCACATTTTATATGCTGGCATGCAAGGATATAGTAAATACCCATTAGTCTGGAATAATTTAGAACTAGATATAATTTTGCTTATAAAATCAAATGGGGCTGGGCATGGTGGCTCACACCTGTAATGTTAGCACTTTGGGAGGCTGAGGTGGGTGGATCACCTGAGGTGAGGAGTTCAACACCAGCCTGGCCAACATGGTGAAACCTGATCTCTACTGAAAATACAACAACAACAACAAAAATTAGCCACGTGTGGTGGTGCATGCCTGTAATCCCAGCTACTCTGGAGGCTGAGGCAGGTGAATTGCTTGAACCCGGGAAGCAGAGGTTGCAGTGAGGCAAGATTGCACCATTGCACCCCAGCCTGGGCGACAGAGTGAGACTCTGTCTCAAAAAAAAAAAAAAAGTCAGAAATTGGTCAAATATCCTCAGAGTTCCTAAAGTTGAATGATGCCATTGCATTTATTCCCTTGCTTGATCTTCTACAGATGCTTACACTCTAAACTCAATATTTTTCTCTTTGCTACTGTTCAGAAACAATAGTTGTCTCTCCTGCATTCCTCAGCTATCCCAGTGCTTCCTCCATTGGGAGCTTTTTTTTTTTTTTTTGAGACGGAGTCTCGCTGTGTCGCCAGGCTAGAGTGCAGTGGTGCAATCTTGGCTCACTGCAACCTCTGCCTCCCAGGTTCAAGTGATTCTCCTGCCTCAGCTTCCTGAGTAGCTGGGACTACAGGCGCCCGCCACCACACCTGGCTAATTTTTGTATTTTTAGTAGAGATCGGGTTTCACCATGTTGGCCAGGATGGTCTCGATCTCTTGACCTCGTGATCCACCCGCCTCAGCCTCCCAAAGTGCTGGGATTGCAGGAGTGAGCCACCGCGCCGGGTCGTGAAGCATTTTTACAGAAGGTAGCTCCATGGCTCTGGGACCCCTTTTATAGACTCTGACTGCGTCCCCTTTCATCCATGAAGTGCTTTCTCCATTTTTCCTCTTCTCCACTCCCTTGCAACAATAGTTTGCAAAGTAGAAATTGTCAAAATTAAATCTCACGTGCCGTGTGTCAACCTACTTAAATAGCTGATCTGCATCTTTGTTCACTTGTGTCTGAGCAACCAGCGTATTTTTCTTTTTCTTATTATTTTTCTTTTTTAAAAGATGCAGAATCTATGGACATTAAAATAGATTTGTAATAGCCAGAGCCATGCACAGACCATTGCTACAAAAGTGTACTTTGCACCCTCAGGCTCTTCACGCTGAAGAGTCTTTCTCTTCCCTCTTATGCTGGGTCTGCCTAGTGCTCTTCTCTACCCCAGCCCCTGTAGTGTTCAGATCAAATCACGCTTTATTAGGTGAAACTCTATTGAATCGTGAAACTTTCAAGCCCATATAGTATCCTTTGCCATATCTCGCCTGTGTCTGAGGTTACCGAGAGAAAATTGTCTTTTCCTTTCTCATGTCTATGCTGCTTTTTCTTGCGTATTTTTCCAAAATTTGAGACACACTACATCCTAAATTTATATCAACAAAGAAACTACTGCTGAACTATCAATTAAAGATAATAAAGACAACCATGTAATTTTAAAAAAATCAAAATTGCCAATAACATTTCTATTTTAATACCTCTTTCAGGTAAAAATGTGGAAACCTATTTGAATTCCATAGCAAGTCTCAGTTCAGATGTTCCTCCACTCACCATGGGACTCCGAGATGGTTTGGATAGCTTGTCCTCTCCAAATCTCATGTTGAAATGTGATTCCCAACGTTGGAGGTGGGACCTGGTAAGAGATGTTTCTGTCATAGGTGGATCCCTTATGGTGCTGTGTCTGGGATTGGTTCCTTCCAGTGGGTTCTTGGTCTTGCTAACTTCAGGAATGAAGCTGTGGACCCTCGTGGTGAGTGTTACAGTTCTTAAAGATGGTGTGTCCGGAGTTTGTTCCTTCAGATGTTCAGATGTGTCCGGAGTTTCTTCCTTCCGGTGGGTTCGTGGTCTCGCTCTCGCTGGCTTCAGGAGTGAAGCCGCAGACCTTCACAGTTAGTGTTACAGCTCTTAAAGGTGGTGCGGACCCAAAGAGTGAGCAGCAGCAAGATTTATTGTGACAAAAGAACAAAGCTTCCACAGCGTGGAAGGGGACCTGAGTGTGTTGCCCCTGCTGGCT
The DNA here is from genome assembly GCF_000001405.40 of Homo sapiens. Lineage (NCBI taxonomy): Eukaryota > Metazoa > Chordata > Mammalia > Primates > Hominidae > Homo > Homo sapiens. Next base: position 6,934,340 of record NC_000010.11, read on the forward strand.
CAGGTGGCCAGCCTTTATTCCCTTATTTGGCCCCACCCACATCCTGCTGATTGGTCCATTTTACAGAGTGCTGATTGGTCCACTTTATAGAGTGCTGATGGGTGCATTTACAATCCTTTAGCTAGACACGGAGCACTGATTGGTGCATTTACAATCCTCTAGCTAGACACAAAAGTTCTCCAAGTCCCCATCCGAACCAGAATCCTAGCCAGCTTCACCTCTCAGTGGCATCCTCATGCTAATGAGTAAGTTCTCACTGTGTTAGTTAATGTGAGAGCTGACTGTTAAAAAGAGCCTGGCACCTCCTCTTCCCTCTCTGGCTCTCTCTCTAACCATGTGATATGCTGGCTCCCTGTTTACCTTCTGCTATAATTGGAAGCTTCCTGAGGCTTCACCAGGAGCAGATGCTGATGCCATGCTTCCGGTACATACTGCAGAGCCATGAGCCAAAATAAACCTCTATTCTTTATAAATTGCCCAGCGTCAGATATTACTTTATAGCAATACAAATGGACAAAGACAGGCTATGTCCCAATAAACCCATTTGAAGTTGAAAATATCATCACTTGAAAATGCACTTAATACGCCTAACCTATCAAATATCATAGCTTAACCTAACTTACCTTAAATGTACTTGGAACATTTACATTAGCCTACAGTTCAGCAAAATCATCCACCATAATGCCTATTTTTATAATAAAGTATTGAATATTTCATGTTATTTATTAAACACTGTAGTGAAACTGAAAAAATATGATCACCTGGGTACTCACCATTAACATACACAGCTGAAAGCACACTGGGCCTGAAGAACGTTTGAAGCATTGAACTAAAATGCAGGATGATGGGATGCTGCAGCTACAGGGTCATCAATCTCTCTCTTCTAATGAGGCTTGAGAATGGCTGGTGGAAGGCACTGGGGCATCCAAACTGGATGGCTTAGCAGGCATGATGTTCTTTAAGAAGATGTCAAGTATCCGTATTTTACCCTCATGATCCAGTGGCTGACTGGGAGCTGCAGCTCAGCATTGAGAGAGAGCACATACCACTACAGCTACATACCACTACCCTGAAAAAAGATCAAAATTCAAAATTTTAAGTATGCTTTCTACTAAATACATATCTTTTTCACACTATCATAAAGTCAAACAATCTAAGTTGAACCATTATTAGTCAGGGATCATCTGTGTGTTCAGTTGACCCTCAGTGTCCATGGGTTCCACATTCATGGATTCAACCAACTGTAGGTGGAAAATATTCAAAAACACAAAAACAATAAAAACAACAATAAAACAATAACCCAAATAAAATACAGTATAACAACATATCTATAGCATTTACATTGTATCAGGTACTGTAAGTAATCTAGAGATAATTTAAAATGTGCAGGAGGATGTGCATAAGTTATATGCATTTTCTATACACCATTTTATTTCAGGGATTTGAGCAACCACAGATTTTAGTGTCCACAGGAGTCCTGGAACCAATTCTCCACTGATACTGAGGGATGACTGTATCTGTTCAGTGGGTAAATATTACTCAACTCAATTCTTTTCTTCTGGCTTTACAGAATGACAAATATAATAAAATGTGTTCTTTGTCCCTTCTGTAGTGGGCATGCTTAAATTTTGTGCTATTATGCACAACATACATTTTTATCCATCAGCTAGAGAATCAAGCTTAATAATTTTTAGAAGACCATAATCAATGCCAGCTTCCACTCATCTTTTAAATTTCAGCTTACCATGTCACTTTTTCAGCAAAACTTCCCTAATCCAAGGTTAGGTTATGTCGCTTAATTGCAATCCTACAAAATCCCATCTTTCTTCCTTGTGCATAATTACATTTTTAATTAAATACTTCAAGTATTTACTTGTCTAATGCCTAGCTCTCTTCTAGATGGTAAGCTCCATGAATGCACGGTCTCACTCACCAGTGCTTAGTAGAGGGCAGAGTCTTTGTAGGTCATCTTTAGGCCTTGGTTGAATAGACACAGGCATTCATGAATGAATGGATGGATGAATGAATGGTAACAACAGATCTGCAGCAGAATTTTCAGAATCATCCCTGGATCGTTATTTGGGAAGTGTAACAGCTACGGTTTGAATGTTTGTCCCCTCTGAAACTCATGTTGAAACTTAATGCCCAATGTAACAGTATTAAGAGGTAGGGCCTTTAAGAGGTGGTTAATAGATTAATCTATTCATGGATTAATGGATTATCACAGGACTGGCTTAGCTGTCACCAGAATGAGTCTGTTATAAAAGACAGTTTGACTCCCTCTCCTGCATGCCCTATTGCCCTGTGATGCCTTCTGCCATGTTATGATGCAGCCTGAAGCCCTCACCAGAATGAGCTGCCTGACCTTGGACTTCCCAGCCTTCAGAACTGAAGGAAATAAATTTATTTTCTTTATAAATTACCCAGTCTGTGATATTCTGTTATAGCAACAGTAATGGACTAATACAATAACTGATTATCTTCTCAGAGAGATGCAAGCATTATCAATCTTTAAACTCTTCTAGTTTTCAGAGTTCTTAATTAGGATGAAGAATTTTGAACTTCTAGCTCAATTAATTTAACAGTTCCACATACCCTTCTGTCTCCTCCCAGAGAAGGATTACAGGGGAACACACAAATGGTGCCTGAGGAATTCTCTTCTAGTATCACATTCCCAAAACCATATCCTTCCCACTAAGCCAGCTAAAGTCTTGTAGAATGTAACATACTTTTGCAAATGCTTTAAGCCTCCTGAGAATTGACTTTATTGACTTAATTGGCTCCATTGACTTAGAATGACAAACTCAGAAATCTCATGTCAATCAGATCTTAACTGACTCCCAGGAAGCCTAGGTTCTTATTCTTCAGAATACAAATGATAATGACAGCAATAACACTGCCCTCTCAGGCACTGGTAAACACTGCTATTCATATTCCAGGCACTTTCTATTTAAACAGAGAGAGAGAGAGACAGAGAGAGAGAGAGAGAGACTGTATGTGTGTGTGTGCTTGTGTGTGTGAAATATGTCACATGGCAACAAATGTGATGGAGATAAATAAGAGTGACCAGGGAAGTTGTATTGATAAGTGACACATAGGTAGAGACTTGAAGAACCTGGAAGAAGGAATCATGGAGATACCCAACTAAAAGAATTATGTAAACAGGCCAAGCCTGGTCTCCTTGAAACACCAATAGGGGGAACAGGATGGCTGTTCCTAAATAGTGCTGGGGGTATCCCGCTAAACTCTGCCTTATCTCCCAGAAGACCAAAAAGGTTAATTCCGCTTCTTCATCTTTTGGGTTTATACCCTAGGGAGTGTGGAGAGAGGCCCATCTTCTTGGCTCTAGGGAAGGGAAGGGCAGTGCAGATCTGTACATTTGCTGCACATTGGAATATTCTGCGAGCCTTTAAAACTGTGAGGCCCAGGTTGCACCCCATACTAATTAAGGCAGACCCTCGAGGGTGAGACCCAGAAATCAGTGTTTTTGAAACCTTTCCAGAAGAATCCAAAGTCAAGTGGACATGCTGGAGCCGACTCACACCAGCTCCCAAGGGCAAAGAGCCTACGCTCTTACAGGGATAGAATAAGGATACATCTGGCCTTTAACCTGGTTCCTGACACACAGCTTCAAAAACCCTTGGAATTTCCTGAGTGACAGGCATGTCTTTTGTTATTCCATAATAAGCACCTTTAGATCATACCTGAGTTTATGCTAATAAGGTGACTCCTGGTGGGCTCTTACACGGTTGGGAGGCAAGGGAGCATATGGGGGTAGGAGAGTTGTGGGGGGCAAACCAGAAAGACCTCAAATGTGATTGGAGGGTTGGAACTTTCAGCCGGACCTCTGACTTCTGGTGAGGGGAGAGGAACCGGAAATTGCATTTAATCAAATGGCTAATGAAGTAATCAATCACACCTATATAATGACATCCCATATAAAAACTCTGGATACAAAAGACCAGGGGAGCTTTCTGACTGGTGAACATTATATATATATAGGGAGAGCAGCACACTTCAACTGCATGGGAGCAGAAGCTTCTGTGCTTGGGATCCTCCTTGACTTTGGGCTCTGTACCTGTTCGCCTGGCTGTTCATTTGTGCTCTCTATAGTAAAATAGCAGTCATCAGTATAGCGTTTTCCTCAGTTCTGCAAGTCATTCTCATAAATTATCAAACCTGGGAAGGAATGAAAAGCTCCACATTTGTAGTCAGCTGAGCAGAAGTGCAGGTGGTTTGGGGATGTCTGAAATGTACGTCTGCCTTCTGAAGTGGGGACAGCCTTGTGAAGAACTTTGCCCTTAACTTGCGGGGTTTGCATGAACTCCAGGAAGTCAGTGTCAGAACTGAATCAAATTTCAAGACACTCAGTCAGTACTAGAGAATCGGCTTTGGAATATGCTTCCCAGCTCTGTGTTCAGTGATCTCATGTTGGCAGTTGAAGTCAGCCAGGGTGAGAATATGTACACCATGGAAATTGGCAAATGCTACAAATCAAGGCTTCTTGTCCTTCTGCCCCCAAGAACTGGTTATTAAACATTTATCAACACACTGGCATTTTAGAACCAGTGGCCTATGCCATTAGGTGCTGGTTAGGAAAGGCTAGAAAGATCTCAGGAGGGACAGAGTCTGAACACACTGAGAACTCCTTCTATTGCAAACCTATGCAGAGCAGGCTGAGCCCATTGTGTGAGTGAGGGGAACTCCTTCCTTTCTGAAATCCTTCCATACATTCCCACTTCCACATAAGCCATGTCCAACCTATGTATTGCACTAACCTGACACTAGGTAAAATTCTTCTTAAGGAAGAAGACAACCGGGTCGCTTAACAAATCAGGGGGAAGCCATGCTTACTTCTTTATGTGAATTCCCTGTGTTCATTTTTCATGTGCCTCTCTTGTTCCTTTTGAATTGTTAAATTTATTGCATATTTTTAGTAATAGATGGGTCCTCTTCACATATCAGCCTCAGGTTCATTCAAATCCCTTTCTGGGAACTCACAGAGAAGTTCCCTTTTTTCAGTCTTCAGGAAATTCACTTAAATGTTATGAGTTTTCTGAGATAATTAATCCACCAGTACAATTCCCACCTGAAACTCTCTCCTTCCCCTCTATTCACTCTTCAAATTTTGTTCCAATTTGGTTAATATTTCTGCCTTCCTGACCCATAATTCACGTAAGAGCATGAACACACATGCATTATCCCAGGAAACCACTGTGTGGGAATTCACTGACCCTTTCAAATCCATTTTTTCACTCTTCATTTAAAATGGAGGTTCAGCTGTTCCCCTGCTATTAGAATTTAGGATTTAGTTGCACACTTAAGGGATGTAGTTGAAATCCTTGCAATATATTTGCAGGAATTGACTCGCCTGAAATAATGAATCACACTAAGAATTTAATTAGGACCTTGAGGATGGATAATCAGGAACAGGAGCTGAGAGACATGGAGGCTTAGAAAGTCAGTTCAAATTGGGCACGGTGGCACATGCCTGTGGTCCCTGTGACTTGGGCAGCTGAGGCGGGAGGATCACTTGAGCCCAAGAGTTCAAAGCTGCAGGGAGCTCTGACTGCGCCACTGAACTTTGGCTTGAGCGACAGAGCAAGACCCTGTTTCTAAAAAAACCATTTTAAAAAGTTTATTTCAAGGTAACATGTGACTTCATAAAGGAATAGCCCCCTTACACACACGCGCACACACACACACACATATTCTCTCTCTCTCTCCTCTTCTTGCAATTCCTTGTGTTGGAGTAAGCTAAACTATACCTCGCACATAATCCTCCCAGTCCATTTCTTAAAATTTTACTCCATATTCAATTTGGTTCTAGCCTCTGCATCTTCTTCCTCTTTGAGTTACACTGTAAGAGTAAATCAAATCTAGCCTTAAGTGACATTATCCAATAGTACTTTCTCTGAAGATGGGAATGTTCTAAATCTGTGCTGTCTGGTGGAGTAGCCACTAGCCACATGGGGCTACTGAGTCTATCCAATATAACCAGCGCAACTGAATTTCTAATTTTACTTAATACTAATTAACTTAAATTTACATAGTGTAATTGATGGCTACTGTATGGGACAGCTCAGCTGCAGATGAACAAACATGAATAAGGATTCAAGGGAAAAAAGCTGAGAATTAGTTGTATTAGTATTAGTTGGCCAGGGCTGCCCTAACAAAGTACTACAGACAGGGTGGCTTGAACAGCTGACGTTTATAGTCCCACAATTGTGGAGGATGGACGTCCAAGATGAAGGTGTTAACAAGGTTGGTTCCTTCTGAAGCATCTCTCATTGGCTTGTGGATGGCTGTCTTCTCCCTGTATCTTCATGCTGTCTTCCCTCTGGAGGTGTCTGTGCCCATATGTCCTGTTCTCATAAAGGCACCAGTCATTTTGGATTAGAGTCCACCCTAATAATCTCATTTTAACCTAATTACCTCTGTAAATACACTGTTTCCAAATAGTCACATCTTAGGGTACTGGAGGTTAGGGCTTCAACATATGACCGTAGAGGAGTCAGTTGACACATTTCATTCCATAACAGCTCTTTCACTGACCTCCAGCAGGACTTCTTTCCCATTACAGACTGAGATGAGCCGTAGCAGCATGATTATCTCTTTCAGAGATTAAAATGAAATTGAAAGACAAGCACAATTTCTTATCTTCAAAACTCCTTGATGAAGCCAAGCTAGTCATGTTGTTACTGTTATATTATGTTCCTTCCTGATTCCTCCTCTCTAAATGTAACACAAGATCCATCTAAAGGTCTCTCTCACACAACTCTCAAGCCTCTTGCAGACATTGGTGATTCTGACCTCTTTTATTTCCTCTTCTAGGCACCTGTTCTGGGAGTCTCCTTTCCCTTTCTCAACCTTTCATCAGCCAGGGGTAAAATGACACATTTACAGCTATGGTTAAATGTAAAGACTCCATTCTGGGAGCCAGTGCAGGAGGTGCCTGGTGAGACTGTCATGTTTCATCCATTTTTTTTTTTTTTTTTTGAGATGGAGTCTCACTCTATTGCCCAGGCTGGAGTGTAGTGGTGCTATCTCGGCTCACTGCAACCTCCGCCTCCTGGGTTCACGCAATTCTCATGTCTCAGGCTCCCAAGTAGCTGGGGTTACAGGCACACACCACCACACCTGGCTAATTTTTGTATTTTTAATAGAGACGAGGTTTTGCCATGTTGGCCAGGCTGGTCTCAAACTCCTGACCTCAGGTGATATGCCCTCCTCAGCCTCCCACAGTGCTGCGACTACAGGTATAAGCCACCATGCCCAGCCCCATCTTCTTTATTGGTGAATTTGGGACCAACCTTTTGGGCTTAGTTGTATTATAACCCTACTGAGCTTGATTCCTATGTTGTCCCCTCTCTGTTAAATTCCCATCACGTTTGTTGAAATTGTTTAACAGAAAAACTAAAATTAAATTAGTTAGATGAGAGAACACATCAGGTAGTCATGTGGATCAGACTCTGGAATCAGGCAAATGCCCACCTATCACTTCCCTGCAGGTGTGAAACTCTTTGCAACTGATACTTAATCTATAACACAAAGATAAAAAAGAGACTTCTTGTGCATTTTTGCTAAGATAAGGCATGTAAGGTGCTCAGCCCAGTGCCTGGCACATAGAGCACTATTTACATGTTAGCTACAGTTATTATTTGTATTAGAAATCTTATTGTCAAGCACAGGTTGTGGAGGGAAACAGCATAGCAGAGTTGGATGCACTCAGAGAGAAATGGAAACAGATCGTCTCTGAGATCTTTCCTCATTGTAAAGTTCTATAAGGCATGTTTTCTTTCTTTTTCTTTTTCTTTTTTTTTTTTTTTGAGACAGAGTCTTGCTCTGTCGCCCAGGCTGGAGTGCAGTGGCATGATCTCGGCTCACTGCAAGCTCCACCTCCCAGGTTCACGCTATTCTCCTGCCTCACCGTCCCAAGTAGCTGGGACTACAGGTGCCCGCCACCATGCCTGGCTAATTTTTTTGTATTTTTAGTAGAGACAGGGTTTCACTGTGTTAGCCAGGATGCTCTCGATCTCCTGACCTTGTAATCTACCCGCCTCGGCCTCCCAAAGTGCTGGGATTACAGGCATGAGCCACCGTGCCTGGTCGATTTCTTTTTTAAAAAAAGAACAAAATCATTTCACCTCACCATTGGCTGGGTTATGATAGAATAACGGCACTGAACTACCTTACCTATTTGAAGTACGGGAACTCCTAAACACACTTAATTTCTAAGTAGGCATGTTTTCGAGGAGAACTCTCGAAGCACCTGTAGTATTAACCACTTCTCTCTCAGGAGAGCAGCGTGGTTTCTTCCAAGCGCAACCTTTGGCATCACACATCGCCATGGTGATTTTTCCCTGATCCCAACATGTGTTCTCACATCGTGTTTAATTTAGGAAGATTAGAACCGGTGATCAGCCCCAGCTCCCACCTGGATTCCTTCTCATCTGCATTGTTGCATCAACCTTTTGATGTTTTTGTACTTTAGATTTTTAAAAGTATTTCTGAATACCATGTATGGTTTACAGAGGTCGAGGATCACTCACTTCCAAAATCTTCCTCTTATCCTAAATTGTCCCTAACATCCCATGAAATTACTTTTAACATCTATTTCCCTAATAGACATAACGTATGCAAAGTCAAATTCTAAGTTTGTGTTGTTTGCCACTGTTCCCCCAGCAGCCAACACAAGCCCACCTGGCTCAGATGAGGCACTTGCATTTGTTAAATGGTTTGTTTTTTCCTACGCCATTGAGTAAAAGCTGAGTTAAAAATCACAGGGGCTGGGCACCGTGGCTCACGCCTGTAATCCCAGCACTTTTGGGAGCTGATACGGGCAGATCACTTGAGGTCAGGAGTTCAAGACCAGCCTGACCAACATGATGAAACCCCATCTCTACTAAAAATACGAAAATCAGCTGGGTGTGGTGGCATATGCCTGTAATTCCATCTACTTGGGAGGCTGAGGTAGGAGAATTGCTTGAACCTGGGTGGCGGAGGTTGCTGTGAGCCATGACTGCACCACTGCACCCCAGCCTGGGCGACAGGGTGAGACTCTGTCAAAAAAAAAAGAAAAAAGAAAAAAGGTCACAGTGGTCAGGCAAGTGGCTCACGCCTGTAATCCCAACACTTTGGGATGCTGACATGAGTGGATCACTTGAGGTCAGGAGTTCGAGACCAGTGTGGCCAACATGGTGAAACCCCATCTCTACTAAAAATACAAAAATTAGCCGGGTGTGGTGGCAGATGCCTGTAATTCCAGCTACTCGGGAGACTGACGCAGGAGAATTGCTTGAACCCGGGAGGCAGAGGTTGCAGTGAGCCAAGATTGCACCACTGCACTCCACCCTGAGCAACAGAGCAAGACCCTGTCTCAAAAAAAAAAAAAAAAAAAAAAAGAGTCCCAGTGTAAGAGCCAATAAAGAAAGACTAAGAACCTCCCTGTTCTGCCACTTGCAGTATTTTGCAGCCTAGAAGATGTTACTTGTAAACACCATTGCTTCTGCCCACAAAGACCTGCAATCACTATAGGAAAGGCTTTAAACATCTTCAAAGAAAGCAGCAATATCTTGTTTCTTAGGCCGAGACTAAAGAGTTTGAAGAATTAGAATGATTCTCTTCTTCATTAAGATCCTCCTCTCAATCACCTCTTCCCTGGCCCACCTCAGGAGAATGAAGAGGAACAAAGAAAGAAGCAAGCTCAAAAAGATTCCTACAGGACTGAAAACCTTTCGCCCACTTAAAAAATGAAAGGCAATAAAAGCCCTCAGAGAAAGAGAAAGATCGCTTCTTCAACCTAACATCCCACCTTAAGCTCTAACCTGCATATACAGGTACAAGCTGATGGATGAGACTATTAGCAATGAGAACCTCTTTATTGTTCATGTTGTTCACCCTGGAGAAGGAGCAAGGAGCAAAAGGTGACAGTAGAAAGGGCTTATTACCTCCCCTGGTAACTAAGCATCACACAGAAAGAAAACTGCCCTCACCCTAATCTTACATTTTCAGGGGCAGTGTTTAAATTTTTATTTTTAATTGAAGAGAATGCTTGAGTTTCTCCTAAAGGGAAAGTTACAAAGACTTATGAGTTTTGATGTACGTAAATGTACTGGAGTTTCAGAAGAAATTCATGATCCCAGTAGAATTCTGAGAGTTGCCAGTAATCATTTTGTCTTGAAGAATGACCATGACTGAGCAAATCAACACGGGCAAAACTAATGGGAAAACGAACTCTTTCCAAAAGGATTAACAAACCCCTGATTCCCATGGAAGGAAGAACCTTGAAGGGGAGCCATCAAATGAAGGCATCAAATCTTGGATCTCCAGCCAAAGACTTAATGTCAGAGGCATTTGAACCAGAGCGACTCCCTTTTGAGTGGGGCTGGAAAATGAGGCTGGGACTTGCTTCCTGGGCTGCATTATCAGAAAGTATGGCCTTCCTAGCCTCTACAGATGTTTATGGCCAAGGGAACAAATTAATAATGTTTACTAAACAGACCCAGACTTGGGAGTGTCCAGATATCCCAATATCTGGAGAATAAAGGCATTCCTAATTTTGCTTTAAATATAATAATATCGATCCTTACAAAATATATTAATTAAGAAAATCAATCCTTTATCACAAACCCTTGAGCAGAACACATCTCCCCATATATACCAGCATTGTACCTAGGGTGGATGCGCTCCTCCTCTTACTTTCAGGAACGTCCTACTCTGTCTATGGAGTAGCTGTCCCTTCACCTCTTTGCTTTCTTAATAAACTTGCTTTTGCTTTGTACTATGGGCTCACCCTGAATTCTTCCTTGAATGATATCCAAGAACGCTCTCTTGGCGTCTGGATCAGGACCCCTTTCCTGTAACAATAAGATCTGAGAGGCTGATAAGTTGCATGTTGAGAAATTCAGACCCCATGTCCTCTCTCGGGTTTCACACTGCAGCATCAGAGAGCTTGAATCTGCCCAATTGCAGCCACGACACTAGGAGTTATGGAAATGTATTTTCCATGGCTTCTCTTTCTTTTTCTGCTTCTTCCTTCCTCCCACTCTCCCACCCTCCTTCTCCTCTCTCTTAAATGTGCACAATAAAAATTATTAAGTCCAAAATATTTTCTTCTAAACTTAAAAAAAAAACCTCTAAGAAAATGTAATGCCTTCTCTGTTTATTACAAAAATTTGCAGTTTTGTGAAAACAGATTATATGGGTAGAGTTTTTACTTTATAAATATCAATTAGTAGCCTAGTGGGTAGCATTTTCCTTTCTTTAGGGTTTCAATAAAAGCAAAGATGACTTTGTCTTAGAAACATTATATGTGGGAGAAGGCTGCTTAAGTTATTGGGTTAGGGAGAATCTTTGGCAATGCGTGTTCTAGATCAAGTTTGCCCAAGATATTTTAGCAGCCTTGGAAAAATGACACCCATTCCCAAGCCCATCCCCCTTGCCTACCAAGAACCTCAGCTCCCTCATTGCCCATTGATGATATTGAGCCATGGGTTTCCAACTGCTCCCTAGGGATTTGCGGATCTCCCTTCAGAGGCCGTGATGGAGAAGTGGACAAGGGAGAGTACAAATGCCGTGTTTCATTCTGAGTGATTTATTTCTGGTATTTCTGTTAACATTTTTATTTGAACAAAAGGTTTCTCCATCACAAAGAAGTTTGAAAACTACTAGCTTAACTGATCATGAAATCAGTATCCTCCACCTCTAAAACTCTGAGATCAATGTGTCATTAAAAAAAGGCTATGGCCAAAAACCAAGACATCCAGGTTTAAATCCTCACCCATTATTTTCTAGTTGTGTGACTTCAGGACAGTTGTCAACCTATAAAATGGATAACAACGTTATGTAAACCACATAAGGATGGAGGCTGAAAAAATTCTTGACATTCCATCCCAACTTTATTCCTTGATGATTCTATGGTACTTGGTGCTTTTTATTACAGACAATGTTTCTGGTCTCTCTTTAGGCTCCTGCCATTGGCATGCAGACAAGTATAAAGATTGTTCCCAGCAACGAGGATGTCCCACACAGGTGCCCCACAGACAAATGTATCTGCAATGCTGCAGTCTTTGGTTTAACAGAGTATTTAAAATACTGGTTTATCGGTAAAGAGAAAGTCAAACTGTCACTGTTTGCTAACGATATGATTGTTTACATTGAAAACCCTAAGGACTCTTCTAGAAAGTTCCTAGAACTGATGAAAGAATTCAGCAAAGTTTCTGGATACAAGATTAATGTACACAAATTAGTAACTCTTCTATACACCAACTGTGACCAAGCAGAGAATCAAATCAAGAACTCAACCCTTTTTACAATTGCTGCAAAAATAAATAAATAAATCACTTAGGAATATACCTAACAAAGGAGTCAAAATACCTCTACAAGGAAAGCTACAAAACACTGCTGAAAGAAATCATAAATGACACAAACAAATGGAAACACATCCCATGCTCATGGATAAGTAGAATCAATATTGTGAAAATGACCATACTGCCAAAAGCAATCTACAAATTCAATACAAAGCCCATTAGAATACCATGATCATTCTTCACAGAATTAGGAAAACCAATTCTAAAATTCATATGGAACCAAAAAAGAGCCTGTATAGCCAAAGCAACACTAAGCAAAAAGAACAAACCTGGAGGCATCATCACACTGCCTGATTTCAAACTATACTGTAAGGCCATAGTCACCAAAACAGCATGGTACTGCTTTAAAAATAGGAACATAGACCATTGGAACAGAATAGAGAACCCAGCAATAAACCCAAATACAGCCAACTGATCTTCAACAAAGCAAACAAAAACACAAAGTGGGGAAATGACACCCTTTTCAACAAATGGTGCTGGGGTAATTTGCTAGCCACATGTAGGAGAATGCAACTGGATCCTCATCTGTCATACAAAAATCAACTCAAGATGGACTAAGGACTTAAACCTAAGACCTGAAACTATAAAAATTCTAGAAGATAACCCTGGAAAAACCCTTCTAGACATTGGCTTAGGCAAGGATTTCATGACCAAGAACCCAAAAGCAAATGCAATAAAAACAAAGATAAATAGCTGGGACCTAATTAAACTAAAGAGCTTTTGCACAGCAAAACGAACAGTCAGCAGAGTAAACAGACAACCCACGGAGTGGGAGAAAATCTTCACAATCTATACATCTGACAAAGGACTTATATCCAGAATCTACAACAAACTCAAACAGCTTAAGAACAAAACAAACAATTCCATCAAAAAGTGGACTAAGGACATGAATAGACAATTCTCAAAGGAAGATATACGAATGGCCAAAAACATGAAAAAATGCTCAACATCACTAATGATCAGGGAAATGCAAATGAAAACCACAATGAGATACCACCTTACTCCTGCAAGGATGGCCATAATCAAAAAATCAAAAAACAGTAGATGTTGATGTGGTTGCAGTGAACAGAGAAGACTTCTACATTGCTGGTGGGAATGTAAACTAGTACAGCCACTATGGAAAACATTGTGGAGATTCCTTAAAGAACTAAAAGTAGAACTACCATTTGATCCAGGAACCCCACTACTGGGTATCTACCCAGAGGAAAAGAAGTCATTATTCGAAAAAGATACTTGCACATGCATGTTTATAGCAGCACAATTCACAATTGCAACATCGTGTCAACATCCCAAATGCCCATCTGCAATTCACAACTGCAAGATCGTGGAACCAACCCAAATGCCCATCCATCAATCAGTGGATAAAGAAACTGTGAGATATATATATATATATATATATATATATATATATATATATATATATATATATTTTACAGGCATACTACATAGCCATAAAAAGGAATGAATTCACAGCATTTGCAGTGACCTGGATAAGACTGGAGACTAATGTTGTAAGTGATGCAACTCAGGAATGGAAAACCAAACATCGTATGTTCTCACTGATATGTGGGAGTTAAGCTATGCAGATGAAAAGGCATAAGAATGAGACAATAGACTTTGGGGACTTGGGGGGAAGAGTGAGGGGGTGAGGGATAAAAGACTACCAATATGGTGCAGTGTATACCGCTCGAGTGATGGGTGCACCAAAATCTCACAAATCACCACTAAAGAACTTACTCGTGTAACCAAATATCACCTGTACCCCAACAACTTATGGAAAAATAAAAATAAATACAACACTGATTGCTCCTCAAAAATTAAAACTAGAATTGCCATACGATCCAACAATTTCTGGGTTTATACTCAAAAGAATTGAAAATAGAGTCTCAAAAAGATATTTATGAACCCATGTCCATAGCACCATTATTCACAATAGCCAAAAGGTAGAAGCAACCCAGTGCCCATTGATAGATGAGTGGATAAACAAAATGTGGCCTATCTATACAATGGAATATTATTCAGCCTGAGAAAGGAAGGAAATTCTGATACACGCTATTAATACAACATGGATAAACTCTGAAGACAGGATGCTGAGTGAGATAAGCCCATTACAAAAAGATGTACTGTGTGGTTCCAATCACATGAGGTCCCCAAATTCACAGAGACAGAAAGTAGAATGGTGGCTGCCAGGGGCTGATGGGAGAGGAAATGGGAATTAATTGTTTAATAGGCATAGAGTTTCTGTTTAACAAGACGAAAATAGTAATGAAGATGGATGGTTGCATAACATTGTGAATGTATTTAATACCACTGAATTGTACAGCTAAAAATGATTGCAATGGTAAACTGTATGTTCCAAATATGTTACTACAATTTTTGAAAATGCTCTTTTCAGATATTCGTATTTGTAAGATACATTACCATTTCTGTTATACATAATTACATCTTAATTATCAAGCATGACCAAACATTTTGCCAATGTTCCTCAATTCACTGAGAGTATCATCTCTTGTACCCTTTGGGTAGTCTGTTTAGAACCAAGGTAACAGATATGTTGGCCGTGTTAGTCAGCTCCGGCTGCTGTAACAGAGTACCATAGACTGGGTGGCTTAAACAACAGACATTTATTTCTCACAGTTGGGAAGCTGGAAGTCCAAGGTCAAGCTGTTAGCTGGCTCAGTTCCTGATGAGGGCTCTCTTCCTGGTTTGCAGATGGCCACCTTCTTGCTGTGTCCTCACTCAGTTGAGAGAGAGAGCTCTGGTGTCCCCTCCCTGCCTTCTTCTCCTCTTCCTTCTCCTCTTCCTGCTTCTTCTTTTCCTCTTCCTTGTTCTTTATTTTCTAAGGACATTTATCCCATCTTGGGAGCCCCATCCTCATGACCTCATTTAAACTTAATCACCTCCCAAAGGCCCTATCTCTAAATACATCACATTGCACGTTAGGGAGTCCACATAAGAATTTTGGGGGAACTCAAACATTCAGTCCATAATATTGGCTAAATTTGCGATGTAGGTTACAGGGGCAGTAAAAGTCTGCAAATCTTGAAAAGAAAATATGTTGAAGCACCCCAATATCTAAAGCCAAGATTGTTCTTTACTTCCAAAGTCAACCTCACCATAGTTCCAGGGACCCACATTACATTAGTAAACATGACTAGTGGTCTCAACAAAAATCTACCTGGATTATTAAAAGAAATCAATCAGATAATCCTTGGTTATTATCCAAATTTCCACAAAGAATCCTTTATTTCTTAGGTTGAAGTTTTGGGCCCCAAGAAATTAGAGCTATAGAAATGAGGGGAGTGATGCTTTAAATGCTCATTAGTAATTGACATTTCTTCATAACCAGGCCCCATCAACCAACAAGTGGGCAAAGAAAATGTGGAACATATACACCATGGAATACTACTCATTCATATAAAGCAATGAAATCATGTCTCTTGTAGCAACTTGGTTGGAGCTGGAGGCGATTATTCTAAGTAAAGTAACTCAGGAATGGAAAACCAAATGTCATATCGTCTCAGTTACAAGTAGGAGCTAAGTTATGAGGACATGTATTAGTCTGTTCTCATGCTGCCAGTAAAGACATACCTGAGACTGGGTAATTCATACAGGAAAGAGGCTTCATTGACTCACACTTTCACATGGCTGGGGAGGTCTCACAATCATGGTGGAAGGCAAAGGAGGAGCAAAGTCATATCTTACATGGTGGCAGGCAAGAGAGAGCTTGTGCAGAGGAACTGCCCTTTATAAAACCACATCTCATGAGACTTATTCATTATCAGGAGAACAGCATGGGAAAGACCTGCCCCCATGATTCAATGACCTTCCACTGGGTCCCTCCCATGACATGTGGGAATTATGGGAGCTACAATTCAAGATGAGATTTGGGTGGGGTCACAGCCAAACCATATCAGGACACCAAGGCACAAGAATAACATAAGGGACTCTGTGACTCAGTTGGGGAAGAGATGGATGGAGGTGAGGGATAAAAGTGTACACTGCTCAGGTGATAGGTGTACCAAAATCTAAGAAGCCACTATGAAAGAACTTATCCATGTAATCAAAACCCACCTGTACCCCCCCAAAAACTATTGAAATAAAGCTTTTTTTTCTAATGAGAAAAAAAAAATCAGGCCCTCTCTCCTTGCTTCTTCTGGGAGGTGTTGACAGGGTTCAACAGGAGGAAAAAGTGAAGAGAACACTGGTGCCTGAGAGGCAAGGAGGGAGGAGAGCAGCCCTATGGGCAGGGAGGGAGCTGGGAAAGAGAAGTGTGCTGGAAGGCCACACATTCATGGCTAAATTCACACTTTATGCCAGGGTTGGCCCAAAAGTAACTCACTGTAGATGTACCTTCCAACAATAAAATGATCTCTGAATCAAGACCCTTGAAGTTTGTTTCACTAAGCATTGAAGAGTTTCTTTCCATCTTGAAGCTTAAAATGAGTCCTGAAGAGTAATCTAGATGCATTCAGAATTTCAACTCCTTTTCCATGACATTCGGTTACTGTTTGGTGCCTTTAAACACACACACACGCATACACATGCTTGCACACGCCAGTGCATACACATGCACTGGCTCACACACAGATCCACAGCCAAGTCTGTTGTTAGAGGGTTGCTTGCTGAGCTCTCTGGATTTTCACAGCATCACAGCACATTATTCACGAACATAATGAAACAAAGATTAAGTGGGAATTTTAAGCTTTGTAGGGTGAATGTGTTTCCATGAGGACAGGCAAATCTGGTAACAGAAAGTGACCAGAGCATGGGAAAAACTTGACTTATGGAATCCAAGCAAATCCTCCTTTTATCCTCACCCTAAGATTCTGGAAGTCAAGGCCTCATCAGAAAGCTAAATTTTAGTAAAGTCACACTATCAGCAGTAACAGTTTTCAATTACAAGCAGCTATTTCCAGAGTTCTAATGTTCTGCATTTGCCTTTTAGGGAGATTCTCTGGACCTTTAGACCAGTAAAAAACTAATCAACCTCCATCATTTCATGTTGGGGCCAGGACAATGGCTCTCATGATGCCCAGGCTTAGAGACTTTGAGATGGTGTTTCCTTGATTGCTTATGGGAACCGTCCTGCAGAAGTATAATTTCATTTATTAGAAGCAGAGAGCTTATAAAGTCCTGTGAAACAACAGGTGCCAGAAGGAAAGCCAGACACTCTAATGAGCACTTGGAACTGGCTCTGCAGAAAGCAGAGATGCAATTGATGCCGTATGCATTTATCTTTAGACACACATCAATCAAAGCCTTCCAACCAGATTATCTCAGCATGCTACTGCAAACAGTTTTCATCTACAGTTATTGACGGTTTTGTTCCTAACCAAGAAAAAAAATGGAATGGAGAAAAATCATGGATAGTGCAAAGTCTTAGAACAGGTGCGTATATATGAAGTAGTTTAAAGGAAAAATAAATAATCAGAATATACCTGGTGACACTTCATTTGGTTTCTTGGAAAATAAAATGTTATACATAATGAAATTTTCCATATAAGAGAAGGTCATTGATTCAAACTTACAACCTTAAAAATTGTATAGAAGTTGTGTGCTTGAGGAAAACTACAAAGTCATCTATGCTAAGGGAGATAACCTCCAAAAAATTAGAAGTACATTTGAAATCATATTCAGTATGTCTTACACCCTATAATGATAAGGGTGTTTAATATTAAAACAGGCAATACCTACTTAGTAAACCGTTAACAAACTTAATTAAATAATTCATGTAATGTACCAATAGATTGAAAATTTTATTGGATACTACTTAATTACCATATTATTGCATTTCATTCATACCCATGGACATGGTATTTCTATTTCTACACAAGTAGAAGTAGTATTTTTTAATTCCCATGAATAAAAATTATTACCATAGGAAGGCAAATAATAAGCATAAGAAAATATATATATGTTTTTATAGAAGGATAAACACAATGAACTTAATATGAAACACAATGAACTCTTGAAAAGAAAGCATCTTCCAGTCCAGGAAACATGGCAAAACCCCATCTCTACAAAAACAAAACTACCAAAATTAGCCGGGCGTGGTGGCAGAACACTGTGGTTCCAGCTACTCAGGAGGCTGAGGTGTGAGGAGCACCTGAGCCCAGGAGGTCAAGGCTGTGGTGAGCCGAGATCGTACCACTGCACTACAGCCATGGCAACAGAGTGAGACCCTGTCTCAAAAAAAAAAAAAAAAAAAAAAAAAAGGAAAAGAAAGAAGAAAGCATCTTAAAAAACAACTTTCTTAATTATATATATATATACATTACATAATATGTCATTATTACAAAAGTTTATTTGTATTTCCCAGTTTGTGTCTGCACAGTTTGTGTTTCCTGTTTCTAGAGGAGAGAGAATGCTCTATTCCTTTCTAGGTTCCACTGGTAATCTCTTATGGGTAGAAGACCTAGTTTGTTAAGAATTTGTTGTAAATTACAGTTGACAGCCCTGTGTGAGAAACCAATGGACAAAGTGTAATGACTTCACTGTAGGAGCTTTATTTCTTGAATTTAGGTCTGGGACCATGTTTTAGAGCGTTAAAATTTGGGGAAATTTGACTTCTAGTTAACTAGACTGTTACTTAATGCGTTTTTCTTTTAATTGGAAATAACTTTGTGCCACTGAAGTATGCCTATGAGATCACAAACATCTTTTTTCTCTTGTGACCCTTGACTGGAATCAGACCACCTGCTGAGATTCAACAATTGCTAAGAACAGCGGGGAAAGGAAAATAGATCTGCATCCCATCAACTTCACAGTTAAGGCCAAGCATTCTGGGATTTTTCTGGCGTGGTTTGCTGAACCCTGACCAGAATAAAGTCCAGTGGGATTGTGCCAGACATAATCAGGACCAACAGTCACTTCGACCTCTGTAAGCACCAGTGTTTGGAGGCAGCTGAGGCCTGGGGGCGTGGACGTGACTATTATGATGCTGTCCAAGTGCTTTTGGTTTTAGGAATGCTGGGATAGTGGATGTGTGGCTCTGGGATCATTTTACCCAAACAGAGATGTCATCACTGTGTCTTCTAAACAATCCTATCCCTGGAGCCTTTGGGATCTGTGCCAAAGCAGTTCTAACAATCATAACCGCCAACACCAGCCAAAGAGCAGCCAAGCTAGACCTCAGTCCAGAGGAATAATTTACTGTAAGTATACATCGGGAACCTCCCAACAACAGCCATGGTGAAGGCAGAGGTTGGAATGATGCTTCCACAAGCCAAAGTATACCAAAGATTGACAGGACATATTCTCCCCCACAGCCTCCAAAAGAGCCAACCCTGCCAACACTAGATCTAGGACTTCTGGTCTTCAGAACTGTGAGTTGAGAGGTTTTCATTCATAAGCCACCTCATCTGTGGTATTTTGCTCCAGTAGTCCAAGCAAACTAACACAGCAACTGATTGTTTTTTTTTTTTTTTAAAGGAGTCAGAATTATATCCCAGGTTATACACTAGAATTACTGGGGGAAATGTGAAGCTTCTTGAAAAAATGGGAACGCCAAAAGACTGAGCCAGTTTGGAGAGAGATGATGAAGTCAGTCTTGATATGTTGAGTTCAGCAGTGAAAATAAATCCATGGAATTTCCAGTAAAAACCTGGAGATATAAAGCTTCAGTTCTAAAAAAGATTTTTTTTTCCTGGAAACTCAGATAGCAAAGATGTATAGTCTTTGTTTGTAGTTGAAACCAAGGCAGTAGGTAAAATCTCCAAGGAAGAGTAGAGCAAGAAAATGAAAGGGCCACACACTGCCCTTCTTGGTATCTGATCTATGAACAGACTTGGGACAAAGACCGTGCCTTCTCAGTGCTGTTTCCTGCTCCCTGTCCTCAAAGCAGCTGCTGAGCCACCCCTTCCATGGCATCATGAGTATCCATGCAGGGACAGGAAGCAGACAGGCCACTGGGGGTGAATCTGGCCTTGGAGTTCACACCTGAGCTCCTTCTCCTCTAGCAAGTGATGAAAATGTCCAGGACTGAGTCAGGCATGGACACAAGAGAACACCCCTGAGAATTCTCAGATCTGGGGAGGGGAACATGAAGCTCTGCTGAATTTCCTACCAGTGCAGCCATGGAAACTCAGAGCAGCAGGATTTTAATCTTAACATAGGTGGAATCTCATTTGTACTCAAAGGAGGAGCTAGCCTGGGGCATTGCAGTCACCATGCCCAGTATTAACATAAATATGGGATGAGAACACAAAGCAATGAAGAAAGTCACATAATGAAACAATTTCTAATCAACTCAAGCACTGTGAAAATACCCCAGACCCACAAGCCAGAAGGCCTGGATTCTGGCAAGATGAGACCTCCTCAGCAGTGTGGCACTGATAAATCATCTCAAAGCAGCACACTAACTCCACCAACAATGGAAGGGCTAACCGAGACCAGGAGTGCCAAGCCTAAAGCCTGCAGCAGAACCAGCCCATAGACCCAAGCTCTGCAGCTGGCATGGTGGTCAATATGCTTTTTAATTTGAAGGCCCTTCGGCAGGCTTCTGACAGGTCACTGCGGCCCCTACAACTACTGCATCCGCATCCTGCATGGCTGATTGATGGTCTCTACTGACAGGCAGAATTCTAAAAGTGAACCTCCTCTTGCCCTGGTTATTTAATCAACGGCTACTCTACTACCGCTGTGAAAGGGTTTTGCAGATGAAATTAAAGTCCCAAGTCAATTGACTTGAAGATGATCAGATGGACCCGATATGATCACATGAACCTTTTATGGTGAAAAGGACTCCAAGCATCACTGTTAGTTAAAAGATGGAGGAGCTCCGTGGGAAGGGATGTGGGCAGTGGATGGGAACACACAGCAGCCCCAGGCTGACAGCCAGCCTGGAGACAGGGACCTCAGTCCCACAGCCACAGGTAACTGAATCCTGCTGCAACCACATAAGCTTGGAAGAAGAGCCCACGCCTCCAGAGGAGAACCCTGCCTGGTTGCCATCTTGATCCAACTGGAGCCCTGAAGCAGGAGCCCCGCTGAGCCCCGCTGAAGGCCACCCTGGAGAACTGCATGCTCATACACCATGTTGCTGGACGCGGCTACAGTGATGATCGTCTATGGTGCAGAACAGAAAACTAACCCCTCCCTTCAGGGTTTCTCATCTGAAACACTTGGATCTTTGAATCTTGAGATTGTAAGAAAATGACACCAAACAAACCTACAAAGCCCA
Organism: Homo sapiens; assembly: GCF_000001405.40. Taxonomy (NCBI): domain Eukaryota; kingdom Metazoa; phylum Chordata; class Mammalia; order Primates; family Hominidae; genus Homo; species Homo sapiens. The sequence goes on from NC_000010.11 coordinate 6,955,895, forward strand.
GATCTTCTTTCTCCCAGGTGCCAAGGATTATTCATTTTCCCCTTGTTTGCTCACACATTCATTCACTCAACAAATATTTTTTGAAAACAGGCTATGTGCAGATCCCTGTTATGTGAGGACTGCAAGGATGGGCATAGCAAGGTCAAGGTCACGTGGCACCATCAGTTCTATCACACAGGCTGCGGTGAGTTTAAGGTCTCTATCTTTTGCCCGTCTATCAGAGCCCTAAATTCTCATATTTACTGTTGTTCTCATAAAATCCAAGTACTGCGAGGCTAAAAGAAGCCACCATAAAGTTTTAAATGATTACACACATCATGTTTTGATTAAAATCAGTGTTTTTTTGTGGGAACAAGAGTATATGTTTCTGAAATAATAAATTCCCCAAATGTATATCATTCCCAGGATCCTAACTCAAGGTACATTCTGTAGCCTCTTCTTATCTATGAGACACAGGAATAACCAACAGTGTCTGATATTTACTTTAAAGTGACCCAGATATGAAGCATGTTTTTAAATTCATCTTTACTATTCAGCTGTAGACATGTCTACACTGATTTCACATCTACATTTCTTAAAGGAGCCAGGGAGCAGGGAAGCAATTTCATATTAACAGCACTTGGAGTGGTGTCATCCCCATCAAAGCTCTTATTCTATTAAATTACACCAAAAAGATTAAAAAAATTTATTCTGTTTCGCTGACACCCATATCAGATGTGATCAGCTTTCAAGTCAAAACATTATGTTTCTAATTATACTACAAATGTCCTGAGCTGGGAGAATCAACATGTTTCCTTTTCACTCTGCACCTCCTTCTCCTAAAACAAAGTGGCCTCAGCCAGGATTCAGCTGGCAGATGGGAGAATGATTCATAAGGTAGAGTGGGATTCAACTTGGCTTTTCCACGGACTGTCTGCAGAGAGCCAAAAGGAGCCAAAATGGGTTTGTTTCCACAATACAAGCAGTTTTCACAAAATGGCACACGGGGAACAGATACAAGGAGGAAGATGGCCTGATATTTTCTCTGCAACATGGCCTGTTTCTTCAATAGATAGATGCTATCTATAGTCAATAACCATTCCACACAAGATCAAGAAAGTTCCACACTCGGGCCTAGAAAAGCTGCCAGAGTCATCACTCACTGGTGCTTAAGAGCCCAGAATTCAGAGCAAGGCCCTTCAGAGCCCGGCTGAGAGAATCCTGTGATTGAACTCATCTTCAGTCACAGAATCTGTTTTTAGAAAGAAGTATTCAGTTTTGCTTATGGTTTTTATAAAAATTCCTCCAATACCATGCTTGCATTACACAAAAACGACCAGTTGAGTTCCTCCTACAGGACAGAGTGCACAGAATCGCAGGAACCTGTGGGCCTCTTGCAGACAGGCTGGTGATGGGGACTCCCTGCTGCCTGGAGTTGAACATGACCATCTGCCCTAGATATGGGGGTAACTGCCTCATTTTTAGAGGCTTCCCCTAAGGTCTATGCCAGGCCCTAATCATATTCACAGCATAAAAAACAATGTTTCTTTGTGATTAACAGCCATTTCTCTTAAGGAGGTTTATTTCTTTAATTGCCACAGGTAACAGCTGGTCTTTTCATACCACACCTTGCAATTAAAAACTTCCTCTTCGGGGCCAAGTGTGGTGGCTCATACCTGTAATCCCGGCACTTTGGGAAGCCAGGGTTGGGGGATCTCATGAGGCCAGGAGTTTAAGACCAGCCTGGGTCATACAGTGAGACCCCATCTCAACAAAAAAAAAAAATTGTTTTAAAACTTATCAAGGTGTAGCAGTGCACCTCTAGTCCCAGCAACTCAGGAGGCTGGAGGGGATCACTTGAGCCCAGACCCCATCTCTAAATAATAAATAAAAACTCTTCTTTGAACTTTCATGTTTTCAGGTTAAGTAGTCCTAGTGAAATAAAATCCTTTTCAAGATAGCATTGTCTTCCTATCTAGCTCACAAGTTTCAAGACGGTTGGGATGGTGTGGGTCTTAGTCATTGCGATAATCCTAGGTTCGGCACAGGGTCTGCCATGCAACAAAGGTTTACTGAATTTAATATTTTGAATTCTCCAATTATTGGCATTGTTCGTTTCTGGACATGTTCTTTTTACCCATTGCATCATCAAGACTACCTATCAGTACAGCTGTGATGGCAGTTACAATATTAAAACACTTCCCAACCCCATGGTCCCTCTCCCAGATATCCTGGTCACCTGATAGGATGATTCCACCTATCATCCTCTGGACCTTCTAGAACTTTCCACCATCCAGCAACTAAAGGGTTAACACCCACTGCAGCTGGGAGCTTCCAGGACCCTGCTGATTGGCCAATGCCTGGTGCCCTGCCTTGAAACAGCTTTGAAGTATTTTAAATATAATCCTGACTCCAGTGTTATTAATACATGAACAAGAATAACACTTTAAGGGAGATCAATTTAAATAATAAACCACAAGTGTTACCAAATGCTTCTCCCTTTCATCTGTAATATCTGAATCAACAGTTGCCGAGCTGTGGCCAGAGGTGGCACTTCAGGACAAAGGCATAAGATACTACATCAGAGAACAGGCAGAGGAAGCAGCCACAGTCCTGGGATGGGGAAGTGCTAAAGGGACCATCAAGGCTAAGAGCTAGCCTGTTCTGCTAAGGAGACTGCAAGAATAGTATCACACTCTTAAAATCTCCCTAAAATACCAAGTTTATAGAAATGAAATCAGACAGCCCCTTCAAAACTTTGAGTAGATACTCACTTGCTGAATAATTTAGGAAGCTTTTTAGAGCTGATTTTGTTTGGGCGTCTTTATTGTTGTATTCTGTTTTATTGTATTTTTAATTTATGTTCTGGGATAGCAGGAAAGGCCCTGGAAAAGGAACTAGAGACAGAACAAGAAAATACCTTTCTATGGTTGCCTCCTTTCTTTCCTCTCCATAGAAAAGCATAGAAAAATAAGTGCTTTGCACATTATGGACACCTGGAGAGGCTTTTGCTTTGTGGTTTGCAAAGGAAATGTTCTGAGTTGTTGCTTGAGAGACAAAATTTCTAGCAGTAACCCTCAAAGCTATAGGTGTTAGGCAAGTCTTTTTTGGCAAGAGATAATAGTAGGAGACATGTATATTTTCCATTACCTGACTTAGAAAATTTAAATAAAGGATAAGAAACAACAAAAGCGATCTTTCCATTTTAGTACATACACTTTGCTGCTTGATAACCCATTTTATGTATATCATAATTAATTAGACTGATCTGCAGTTGAACATTTGGGTGGTTTCAAGTCTTTTGCTCTTTGGGTCAATGAATTGAACAATTGATTTTTTGCATATATATCTGCATATGTTTAATTGATGAGTCAAAGGTTATGTGTATGTTTTTAGTGAGAAAGGCAAGTTGTAGAATACGATCTGTCATAGAAGTCTGTATTGTATTTTCAATGGGTGTTTATATGTTCGTTAATGTATAAGTGTATAAAGAAATCATGTATTTCTGGAAGGTCATGTAAGAAATTGCTAAATTTCCTAGAGGTGATTACCTCTAGGAAACAGGGATGAGAGTGAAGGTAATATTTCACTTTTATATCTGTTAGACATTTTTATCAAGATTCCCATTACTTTTATAATAATTATTAATAAAACAACGCATGAGTTAGACCAAGAGAAAAGCCACAAATCAGCTGAGTTATGAGTCAATAAGGGCCTTTTGTATATAATTAGCACATTTCAAAGCAGTTTGTATTTCATGGAAAAAAATCCAGAAATCCAGATAAAAAGTCAGAGTCACCTTGAATTGGGATTGAAATAAGCATACGTAGCACTCCTCCCTTCAATTAAGTTTGAAAAGTTCAGGTTTACAGGGAAGTGGAGCCCAGGGAGCCCAGGGATTAAGCATTCAGGAGTCAGAATCTGATTTTCTAGGACTGAAACCTCCCATGCTATTAACAAGCTTCGAAACAAGCTGAGTAAGTTACTTTCTCTTTCTTGGTCTCAGTTTCCCCACTGAAACATGAGGAAAAAAAGAGTACTTTTTACCTCATTGAGTAATTGTGAGGGTTAAAGAGATAATTCATGCAGCACTCAGCACAGAGTCTGAAGAAAGTCCTCTATAAATGTTAATTATGTTTACTATCACTATTATTTTATAGAAAAAGCAGCACATCTGAAAACAATAATTTATCAACTCATGTTTACTGCACTAAGATAAACATAATATACAAATAAAATTTCCCCAATCCAAGAAAAAATGAATATTAACAGTTGTACAAATATTCAGGCTTCCCTAAGATGATGACTTCCATCAAAGCAGGTAGAGGTACATTGTTTTCAATTATTTATCACAGCAAGTTACCATCGCAGATCAATTTCAGCATGTCAAGAAGCTATATTTAGGTTCTGTGGGCCAGCATCTCCCAAATTCAGCATGATTTCACATTCAAAGAGGAAAAGATATCTGCGTAATATTTTGGCTACTCAAAGAAAACATCAGCATCTGCTTTGAGTGAGAAGGCCTTGTGCCTGCGACCCTCTGTCTCTTCTGTCTCTTGTTTCATCTGCCAGCATGCTGGATGCTCTTGTATCTGCCTCTGTACCTGGGACCAAGCCAGTCCCCAGAGAGGGCGGCAGCACTGACCCCATCTGGCACGACTCAGGACCAGCCCCCCTCAAGGGCTCATGAACGAGTAGGGTAGGGAATATGGGGCCAACAATTTCTTTCCTGCTTTGCCCCTTTTGTCTCCACTGGTTGCCTGGAGTCACTCCTTCGGGGGATTGCCTCTTTGGTTGTGGTACAGTGTCCTGCTCCTGCTATCTCCTTCCCAGGATGGGCATCTTACACCAACTTAGGGTTAACATCTTGTACCCAAAAATATCAAGAGTGTATTTCCAAAGAAACAACCCCCCCGCCCGCCACAAATTGCATGGCAAGTGCCATTCACGTTTCAGCAAGACTTGCCATCATAATTTTCTATTTCCCAGTGGATACCCCAATACTCTTGGGGAGTCAGAGATGGGAAACCCAAGGTGAGGGGCACCAACTGGTCAGGACTTGCACGGATGCATCATATACTGCCCTCTTGCATACAATTTCATCACATTTAACAATTAACGCATGCTTTTTCTCTGAATTACAGAAGCTGCATATTCTTGTTGCAAATTAAGCAATATAGGGGTATGTCAAGTAAAATGCCAAAGATGCTCCCTTTCCAAGTTAACCATTGTGAACATTTAGAGTGCTTCCTCCCCGTTGTTTTGACTTCATGGCCATTTGCTAAGCACCTGCCATGTGCTGGGCTCTGGGTTTCATGCTGGGAATGCAGCAGTACGCAAAGCAGTGAGGTCTCTGCTTTCATGCTGCTGATAAAGACATGCCCAAGACTGGGTAATTATAAGGAAAAAGAAGTTTAATGGAATCACAGTTCCACATGACTGGGGAGGCTTCACAATCATGGTGGAACTTCCATTTGGAAGGAGGGTGGAGACAGATGATAAGGAAGAATGCCATTCTTAATAGAGGGTGGTGGTCCCAGAGGGCCTCTTGGAGGTGGTGTGATTTAAGTTATGATGGATGGCAGCTCAGCCAGCAAAGGACTCAGGAAGTGCACCCAGGAGAGGGCTCAGGCAAAGGCGGGGGAAGTGTGTGGTGCTCAAGCATCAGAAGAGCCATCTGTGTGCCTGGAAGCTTAGTGGAGAAGGGAACAAGGTGACAAGAGATGACAATGGAAGGAGGCAGTGTCCAGACCGTTTGGTGCCTGGGAGACCCCATTCAGGAGTCACTTGGGTTGTAATTCCAGAACAACAGGAAACTGCTAAAGGGAAGACCACAGTTAGACTCCTGCTTTTAGGAGCTCACATTGGCTGCTCCGCTGAGAATGAACTTTAGGGAGACAAAGTGGACTTAAGTTGCCCACTTAATAAGTTGCCCTAGTCCAGGAAGAAAAGGATGAAACCCCGAGGGAAAGGGCAGGCGGCCCCTGATGGGAGACTCTAACGCTGGTATTGAGGGGCGGATTACTGTCTTGGGGTTTTAAACAACTGTTAAAAGAGATCCTTTGATTTGGGAGCTGGAGAATCTTCTGCAACATTCTCAGTGTGTGTTTCTTCTTGGATGAGGTGATAACCTTTGGGTTGAAGCATTTATCTTGCCTTGGCTATAAAAATCTGCAACCGCTGTTATAACCAATCACTTGCTTTCTGCAGCCCTGGGGCGTGCATTTGTCACTAAGTAATAAGGCTTCGGTTAACACTCAGAAGCCCCTATGATGCTTATCAGGGCAGTGCTCCAAGTAGATCTACAAGAGCAGGTCCAAGAAAGGATCCCGACAACTTCCCCTCCAGCCAGGTGGGAACTGACCCAGGGTTTTTAGACACTCCCTGGTGCAAAGCACCCCCAGCAGAAGCACTCCTGCCCTGCCCTTGCCCTATCCCTCCTACCTTGCCCAACCACAGTGATTGCTAGAGGTGCATTCCTTGGGCACCTGGCCCTGTATTGTGGTGAATCCTTGCTGAAAGGACCTGGCTGCTAGAGGGAGACATACAAACCTTCCAGCTTCAGATTCCAGTCACAGCACACCCCAAGTATCAGAAGATGGAGAGAAGTGGATGGATGGAGTCAACATTCTCAGATTTTGGAGTCAGACTTGCCCCAAATATGCCCCAGGTATATAGAACCATATTGAAACATAGTCTGTTCTGCTATACTTGTTTTTGAAAATGCAAATTTGTTCTAATGGGATTGAGATATTAGGGGAACAATCTAAATGCAACGGGAGTTTTCTGTTTTCTTATGTGTGATTTCATCTGGAAAACACTAGCCAAACGCAGCTGCACACAACAGCCTAGGAATCCGCGAAACGCACCCACAATGACCTCAAAGGACAGCTGGCTACCTCAGTGCACCATGTCTGGGCCACACCTGTCCACACCACGTGTCCATCCTTCCCTCCACCTCACATAACCCCCTTCATGGTCTCATAGTAAGGCAGGAGCTGCAATCCTGCCACAGGCAAACTTCAGGGATTTTCCAAGACAGAGTGCCTATGTATTGCAGTATTTATGTGTCTCTTACCCATGTTCTATATGTAAAACTGTGCTGCCCTTTGTATTATGTTCCTGTCTTTGGTTTTAATGTGTCCCTGATGCAAGGTTAGACTGTTTGCCCCAACCTCATTATCCTCATGAGCCCCATGGTTTGGGTGCTGTCGCATAGTAAGGAAGAAATAGGTCACCTTACAGCAACACTACATCTACACCCACGTAGGAAACTTTGTCCCACCCACATGAAGTACCTTTGTCAGGCAAGGTGTGGTGGCTCATGCCTGTAAACCCAGCATTTTAGGAGGTCGAGGCAGGTGGATCACTTGAGGCCAAGAGTTCAAGACCAGCCTGGTCAACATGACGAAATCCTGGCTCTACTGAAAAATATACAAAAATTAGCTGGGCATGGTGGTGCACACCTTTAATCCCAGCTACTTGAGAGGCTAAAACACGAGAATCACTTGAACCTGGGAGGTGGAGATTGCAGTGAGCCGAGATCGCACCACTGCACTCCAGCCTGGGCCACAGAGCAAGACTCTGTCACCAAAAAAAAAAAAAAAAAAAAAAAAAAGAAAAAGAAAAGAAAAGAAATGAAAGAAATGCACTTGTTTAGCAACTTGCTTCACTTGCTTTCCTCACTTAACAGGTTGTGAATGTCACATTATGTTACTATATAGAAATCTAAAAATACATTTATGTATCATATATAAGTCTCCATATAAATAAGATCTATATAGATTTTAAGAAATACACCTTCCTCTGTGTGCATGTGGTATGAAGGACATTTAGGTGGCTTATAGTTTTTGTTGCTGTTGTTATAAATTTTGCCAAACAGACCACTCCTATAAGAATGTCTTTCTGCACTTGGGTGGGTATGGTTGTAAGAAAAATTCCTACAAGTGGAATTGCTGTGTTAAAGACACACATGCTTATGTTTTCATAGTTCTGTCCAATTGCTCTCCAAGGAAGTTATATCAGTGAATAACCATATAACCAACTAAATATAACATTTCCTATTCTGCTGTCATTGGAGATTGTCATTTTTTTGAAGTTTATGAATCATAGAAATACATATTCTAAATAAACAATAGACTTAAATTAATAAATTATTGCTAGAGTCTGAATGTCTGTGTTCCCCCTCCAAATTAAAATGCTGATATTCTCACCCCCAAGGGGATGTTGTTAGGAGGTGGGGCCTCTGGGATGTGGTTAGGTCATGGGAGCAAAGCCCTCATTGATATGATTTGGCTGTGTCCCACTCAAATCTCATCTTGAATTGTATGTAGCTCCCACAGTTCCCACATGTCGTGGCATGGAACCTGAGGGAAGTAATTGAATCAGGAGGGTGGGTCTTTCTCATGCTGTTCTCATGACAGTGAATAAGTTTCACGAGATCTGATGGTTTTGTAAGGAGGAGTTTCCTCACACAAGTTCTCTCTTGTCTGCCGCCATGTAAGAGGTGCCTTTCACCTTCCACCATGATTGTGAGGCCTCCCCAGCCACGTGGAACTGTGAGTCCATTAAACTTCTTTTTCCTTATAAATTACCCAGTCTTGGGCATGTCTTTATCAGCAGCATGAAAACAGACTAGTAGACTCATAAATGCAATTAGTGCCCTTACAAAAGTGACTCCAGTGAGCTCCTTTCATCATGTGAGGATGCAGCAAGAAGGCTCCCTCTGTGACCAAGGAAGTGAACCTCATGTGACCAAAGAAGTGAACCCTCAGCAGACATTGATTGAATTGTCAGGGCCGTTCCCCTGGACCCCAGCCGCCAGAGCTGTGAAAAATAAATAGTTGCTGTTTATAAGCCACTCAGGGCATAGTATTTTATTATAGCAGCCTGAGCAGACTAAGGCAATGGAGCATCAGTATCAGTCTACTAATCTGATGTAATATGTTAATCACAGAACAGACTGGGCATGGGAAGTGTGAGAACTGCGCGATCTTCTCAATTGTCCTATAAATTAAAACTGTTACTAAAAATATGTCAAAAATACATATATTATCTTACATTAGTTGTGTCTATTCATGAAATTTAACATCTTTTCACATGCTTATAAGTCATTTGTATTTTAATTTTGTTAATTCCTTCTTTATGTTCTATGTCCAGCTTTCTATTAGATTATCTTTTTTTTCCTAGAATTTCCAAACTGCCAAAAAAGTTCCACGTTTTCAAATAATATTATTTATCTTTTGCTGTATATGAAATTTGGCCAAATCTGTCAAATTTTATAACCCTTGGGGCTTCAAGGCTTTCTTAGAAAATACCAAACTTTTAACCTACCACTGCATTTAGAATAACTTTATCCACAATAAAATAAACCTAAAATATTTACTTATCGGTTAGTTAGTAAACCAATTGCATTAGTCTCCTTAAGCTGCTGTAACAAATACCACACGCTGGGTGGCTTAAGCAACAGGCATTTATTTTCTCACAGTTCTGGAGGCTGGAAAGTCCAAGACCAAGTTGTCAGAAGGGTTGGTTTCTGATGAGGTCTCTTTCCTTGGTTTGCAGAAGGCCATCTTCTCATTGTATCTTTATAAGTCCTGCTCTGTGTGTGTGTGGAGAGAGAGAGAGATACTGTGTCTGTTTTTATTGGGACACTAATCCTACCAGATTACACATCGTTATGACTTCATTTAACCTTAGTTACCTCCCTAAAGTCCATTTCTCTGAATATAGGCACACTGGGGAGGAGTGCTTCAACTTGTGTTTGACGGGGGGACACAACAGAGACACAATTCAGTCCTTAACATCATTCAACTGATATTTATTGATAGTGGATTAAATACTCTATACTGTGCTTGCTAATCGAGAGAATACAAACGCATGGCCCCTGACATCCACAAGTTTACAATCTAATCTTATAGGCATGAAATAATATTTACAATAATTATAGTTTGGCAGATTCAAGTGCTTCCCCTGAGGGAGAAAAAACAAAACACAGTGTAATGTCTAAACTGTAAAAGTGGCTGGAGACTTGTTTTCCTGCACCTTTCAGGACACAGAGGCGCATCATAAAATTAAACATATCACTGTCATCCTCAATCTGTAGTCAAAAGTGACTTGTGACGTGGATGTGAAGGTGAAGTTATAGAATGTGGCAGAGAAAGAGGAAGAAATACAGGAAGATACTGAAAAAAGTGTACAAACAAGAAATCAAGTATACAAACAAGAAACCAAACCATAGGGATCTGAGGCTACTGCAAAGTACACTCTCTCTGGAGTGAAAGGAATAACAGCTCAAAGTATATGATGCATTTTTTTTCCTCTGAAATCCTCAAAACTCTTCTCAAATATTTATTATCCTCTCATAATCACACTAAGGTAGAAAATAAATATGTTTGCTAGGCTTTTTAAATTTTAATTTCAGATAGCTATAGATAAATACAGGGATCTCACTATCATGAATTTGATTATTAAATATTTTGCTGAATACCTATTTTGCATAAGGTTGCTTTAGACCCTATGGGTATGTAATAAGGACTAGGACATAGCACCTATGTTGGAAAACATTGAAGTCTTAGAGTTAGAAGGAAACAAGAGCTCCTCAATTTGGAAAAAGATTCACCCCCTCTCTGCTTTGGCAACCATGGAGGGCATCACTATTTGACCCCTGACTCATTGCAGCTAAGATCCTCAGAAGTACCCTCAGGATATTTCCCAGAGCTCTGCAAGAAGCCACTCACCACCAGCAGAACCAGGTGGGCACAGGAGTCAACATCTGTCCCTTGCACTGTTCTATGCTGCCCCCTTGAATGGTTTAACAACCTAAAATCCCATGCTGTGCCACTTTGATCCCATGCTTTATTACCGTTGGATTCCCCATAGAATTCAAGAACAAGATGGCAGACAAATTGCTAAACTCAAAAAAACTAACACATTTTACCCGACTTGTTGAGCCTAATTCCAATATCTGCCTTCATTTGACAGCGGATATTCAGAAAAGGACTTAAAAAAATACAAAAGAAACAAACAAAATCCAGTGGATGTGGAAAAGACACATGCCTACTTTTACTTTCCTGGGTCAGAAATGGAAGTGAAAGCAGGCACTTCTCCAACTACCATTCTGCAGGAAAAGATGAGTGCAACAAAGAAACCCCAAATGGCATTCATTAAGGCTACAGAACCAAACTGAATAATGTGAGATTAGACAGCTGCAAATCACCTTTACTGCATATAAATACTGGATCTTGGTGCCTAAGAATGGCAGACAATGCCCGCTGGCATTGGTGAAGATGAGGATTCTGAAGAGAAGTGAAGGAAGGAGGGTCAGGAGGCTCCAGGAATGATTTTCATAGAGAATTCCCCAATACCAACATTTCCCCCTTTCTTTGGGGCTGCAGAGTAATAATGAAACACATTCTATGTGTCGTTTTCTTTGACACAGTGGCTACAATTTGGTAATGATGATTGTCCTTGTCATGATTATTATGGCATTTATTTTACTGTGATTACTTAATCCATCCAACACTATGCTGTGAACTTTTAACAGCTTATTTCAGGTAATGATCTTAACAGCCCTGCTAAGTTGATATTATTGTTCCCATTTTAAAAATGAGGAAATTTAAGACGCTAACGGTTTCAGAAAATTCTCCAGGGAGTGACAAAGTCAGGCAGGATTCAAACCCACATCTGCTCCAAGAGAAAGAAATAAAAAGCATCCAAATCGGCAAAAAGGAAGTCAAACTGTTGCTGTTCACTGATATATGATCGTATACCAAGAAAACCCTAAAAACTCATCCAAAAGCTACTAAAACTGGTAAATGAATTCAGCAAAGTTTCAGGATACAAAATTAATGTACACAAATCAGTAGCACAGCTATTGCAACCCCTTTCACAATAACTGCGGGGGGGTGGGGGGGAGGGGACAAAAAAAAAACCTTAGGAATACACCTAACCAAGGAGGTAAAAGACCTCTATAAAGAAAACTACAAAACACTGGTGAAAGAAGTAATAGATGACACAAACAAATGGAAACACACCCCATGAACATGTATGGATAGAATCAATATTGTGAAAATGAACATACTGCTAAAAGCAAAATTCAATGCAATTCCCAACAAAATGCCCCATCATTCTTCACAGAAGTAGAAAAAACAATCCAAAAATTCATATAGAACCAAAAAAAGGGCCCGAATAGCCAAAGCAAGACTAAGCAAAAAGAACAAATCTGGAGGCATCACATTACCTGATTTCAAACTACAGTATAAGGCCATAGTCACCAAAACAGCATGGTACTGGTATAAAAACAGGCACAGAAGCCAATGGAACAGAATAGAGAACCCAGAAATAAAGCCAAATACTTACAGCCAACTGGTCCATAACAAAGCAAACAAAAACATACAGTGGGGAAAGGACACCCTACTCAACAAATGGTGCTGGGATAATTGGCAAGCCACACATGGAAGAATAAAACTGGATCCTCATCTCTTACCTCATGTAAGATTCAACTCAAGATTGTTCAAAGACCTAAATCTGAGACCTAAAACCATAAAGATTCTAGAAGATAACATCGGAAATAACCTTCTAGACACTGGCTCAGGCAAAGACTTCATGACCAAGAACCCAAAAGCAAATGAAACAAATACTAAGATAAATACATTGGACTTAATTAACTAAAAAGCTTCTGCACAGCAAAAGAAGTCAGCAGAGTAAACAGACAACCCACAGAGGTGGAGAAAATCTTTGCAAACTATGCATCCAACAAAAGATTAATATCCAGAAGCTACAAAGAACTCAAATAAATCAGCAAGAAAAAAACAAACAAACCCATCAAAAAGTGGGCTATGGACATGAATAGACAATTCTCAAAAGAAGATATACAAATGGCCAATAAATATATGAAAAAAATGCTCAATATCACTGATTATTAGGGAAATGCAAATCAAAACCACAATGCGTTGCCACCTTACTCCTGCAAGAATGTCCATAATAAAACAAATAATAGATGTTGGTGTGGATGTAGTGAAAAGGGAACACTTTTACGCTGCTGGTGCAAATGTAAACTAGTACAACCACTGTGGAAAACAGTGTGGAGATTTCTTAAAAAACTAACAGTAGAACTACCATTCAATCCAGCAATCCCACTACTGGGTATCTACCCAGAGAAAAAGAACTCATTATACAAAAGATACTTGCACACACGTTTATAGCAGCACAATTCACAACTGCAAAAATTTGAAACCAGCCCAAATGCCCATCAATCAATGAGTGGATAAAGAGAACATTATATATATATATATATATATATATATATATATATATATATATATACACACACACACACACACCCCCATGGAATACTACTCACCCATAAAACAGAACAAAATAATGGCACTCGTAGCAACCTGGATGGAATTGGAGACCATTATTCTAAGTGAAATAACTCAGGAATGGAAGGTATGTTCTCATTCATAAGTAGGGGCTAAGCTATGAGGATGCAAAGGCATAAGAATGATACAATGGACTTTGGGGCCTCAGGGGATAGGGTGGGAGAGGGTGAGGGATAAAAGACTACATATTGGGTACAATGTACACTGCTCGGGTGATGGGCACACCAAAATCTCAGAAATAACCACTAAAGAACTTATTCGTGTAACCAAATACCACCTGTTCCCCCAAAACTATTGAGATAAATAAATAAATAGCTCAATAAAAAACCCCCACAAAACCATGCCTGCTCAACATGGGTACTCCTTCCCCTCTGACACCCTAATGTTCTCTCTTCATTGTAATTCTGTGGTAAGTATAGAAGCCTGGGGGCATAAATCTGTACTAGAGCTCACAACTTTTTTTTCCTATAAACAGCCAGAGAGTAAATTTCAGGCTTTGTGGGTCAGATGATCATAGCTGTTACTCAGCCATTGTAGCGAAAAAGCAGCCTGAAACAACACAGAAACTAATGAACATGACTGTGTTCCAATAAAACTTTATTTATAAAAACAGGTGGAGGGCCATATTTGGCCCTCAGACTGTGGTTAGTCTATGTCAGTCTGCAAGAATGAGGAGTGGGAGACACGGTTGCAGCAGTTGGAAGAACGTTGCAATGACAAATGAAAGACACCATCTTTAACCTCAGATACTTTAAAATCTAGCAAGAAATGCCAGAAAAAAAAACCGATTTTTTAAAAAAGAGTAGCTTCAGAGAAAGAAAACACATTGAAAAACATAAAACAAATACAATACAAATTACAAAAGCAATTTCTAGGGACAAAAAGGAGTGATTGGTCAGGTATAGTTAAACTAGCTAAAATGTCTTAGACAAAGGAGATTTAAAGCAGGGTTTTAGAGGCAGGATAGAGACTGAATGGGAACAGAGAAGAGAATATATCCCTCTCCACTTAGGCAACTGAAACTTACATGACATAGAAGGGATAAAGGAACTTGGGAAGCACCAGACAGCAATGGATAAACAGCCAAAGGCATTTGTGTGCTTCAAAAAAAGAAGCATAGCAGAAGTAAAATGTCATGCCCTCTACCCAAGGAGTGCCTATTAAAATAAATGTCATCTGCCCAGAATAACAAACTGATAAGACTGAATTATTGATTACCCTATGTAAGTTTTCATCTGAAGTGTTCTGTGGGTTAATGCAATAATCAAATCCATTTCCCCAGTCTGTCCCCTGCTCTTCTCTCTCAGCTTCAATTTCAGCTCTGAATTGTAAAACAGAATGAGGTTTTACTCGAAGCCTCTCTCATCCTACCTTCCGAGTGCTCTCTGCAGTCATCCTAAGTCAGGGCCTGAAAGCTGAGGGAATCAACTGGCCAAAAGGAGAGCAGGCTCCATGCCATTTTTCTGCAAAGCAATTCTCCAATGGAAATTGGATACACTTGCATGATGGCGCTTAATTCCTCTGCTTGAAGCACAGGACTTAGCAGGCTGCAAATCCTCAGCTCCTGTGCAACACGAACACCTGTCAGGGGGCCAGGTTTGCTTCTCATGATGAATTTCCTCTTGCAGGAATATTGTGAGTTGGAGCCGGAAGAGGGGTGCAGTTGTATGGAGGCATCAAATGACCTTGGTCCCCAGCTCACAGATGACCCAGACTAATACCCTAGCAAGGTCAGGGCACAATCTCCCCCAAAAGAGAATATGATTCATTCAGCTCTGAAGTCAATGAGGCAGAAATGGTCTCCCTCTCTGGATTTACTGTTTCTCCTCTTGTGTTCCCACCCATCCTGGGTTTCTTCACTTCACCCCTAAGTTGTAACTGAAGCATTCACCGCTGGCAACACTCTGCTCTTAAATCACATTGTCCTCCTCAATCAAATTTTACCTTAGAATCTTAACTTTCTCTCCTATAAAGCTCCAGGTCTACCTGTAGCAACGTTGAGCTCCCAGAATATTGCTCTAGAATCCCAGTCCCCATTTCTCCCTGCCTAGGAGCCACAGCGACGGCTCTGATTTTCCTTGGATCCTTTAGACAAGACACTGAACACAGAACAACACTGCCCATTACAGTAGCCACTGGCTACCCTCCAGGAGCACACCTGTGGTTTAACAAGTTGGGTTGACCACTCATTGCAGTGAGGGAGCACTCACACCATGAGAACCATGGGACATCTCCATAAGGGGATGTTAGAACCTATTATAGGATGAGGGCTTTGATTGGGTGATTTGGGGGAGAGTCTAAGGAGGCAGAGGTTTGCCCTAGCGTAGGTATCATCAGAAAATACGGCAATACTCTGAGTGGGTATCTCAATCAATCTGATCTAGAGGAAGGCCAGACTAGAGTGAGGAAAAGGCTGGAATTGATAATCATATAGTAGTTACTCAGTGAACAAGAGAAGGGGATGTCTGGGGTTTTGTTGGTTGCACAGTGACCTGGTCTGCATCCATGTCCTGAGAGATTGTTTATGTCAAGCAGGAGAAAATGAGGATTAGCTGTGCCAGATCAGTTTGCAATAACGTATAGACCAAGCTCTGAACATCAAATCCAGTTTCCAGGCATCAAAGTTGCATTTAGTTTCTTTTACACACTGTTCTGTTAAGGAAAAAAAAAAATCAAGGTGTGTAAGTTATGAAACTGTGTGATTTTGGTGATTCTGCATTCGAGTTAAATGATATTTGCATTTAAAATTGGCATTGCACAGTATAAAGACAAACACTGAAATCCATGCTAATCATTTTAATTTTTAATTTTTCTTTACTTCAGTCAACATGGCAAATTTTAAAATGCCATGAATAGTTGAGAGAGGGAGAGGCTTTGAAAGAAAAGAAAAAGCTTTACATTTTAGTCCCACGAATGACCTTTTTTTCTGCTTTTTGAACAAGGTGACCCCCATTTTCATTTTGTGCTGGGTCCTCCACATGACGTAGCTGTTTCTGTTCCCTGTTCTTTATTTCTTTTAACCCTTGACAGTGCCCTAAACAGATATTCTTAAATGTCCTCATTTTCCTTTGTTTTTCAGAGATCACTAGCTGCTGCGTGTTCCCTGTCAGCAAATGTCATAGGGGTCAATTCCCTATGGATGCTTTTAGCGATGACACTTAGGTTAGACAGGGAGGAGTCAACCCAGCCTCCCATTCTCTTCCCGGATCCTGGTCCTTCTTTTCACTGCATAGAAGCAGGAAGAGAACAGAAGCTGTCACAAATCAGTCCCCACTGAGGATTCAAAGCCTCGTGTCTGGACTCCCATCGGTAAGACACATTCCCCAGGCATTACTGTGCTTTTCTGGTTATTTTTGTTTGTTTGTTTTCTTTCATTTTTCCTGGGTCAAAAATATTCAAGTGTCCATTCACTCTTCTGATCAATATCTTATTTGTAAATAATTTTCCAGTTCTTATCGCAAGTTGCCCTAATGATCCCCTGGCAGAAATCTCAGCTCAGATTTGTCTCTGATATAAATGTATAGTCAATCTGTTTCCTACAAAGGCCTTTCTCTATCCTTTTACACAGCAAATCACTTTACAATGTAATTTAGAGAAAGATATTTGAGAAGAGGTTTAAAGTGACTTCGTGGCAAACCAGGTAAGACCAAAGAGATGAACTGCATTTGAAAAATTCAGAATTTTTGACACATGCTCGCTTGCTTTTTCTTAACAGAAACGTCTGCTATGCTTACATTCAGACACCTGAAGGCCTCTGCCCTGAGGCACAAAATGTCAATAGAAGATTCCAGGAGTCCTTGCCCATTTTTTTGGTACCGTATCTGCAAATAGCCCAGACCCATCCTTTTGGGTCAATACAGTTAGCAGGCTGAACAGGAGGCTCTGAATCAAAAGACAGCAGCCTATTTGGATGAAGTGGACATAGGAGGAAATAATGTCATCCATCACTACCACTCCCTCCCCGCAATCTCCATCCCGATCCTGGGGCTAGATTCTCCTGCCATCTGGACATCCTTTCTGAGTGATGTGTCTGGCAGCATAGGTGGTCTTGGCGGCTCTTCTTGGCTGCTACTATTCAAAAGGAGGAAACTGGTTTTATTGGATCTCAACAAAACCTGCCTGCCCCTCACCAAACCACATCATTCTCATCTCTTATTCTTAAGCCTCAAGCACTGAAACCGATGAATTGGGCCTTATTCTGTCAACTGCATTAACTTACGTAGTGAGAAGAAGTTTAGTAACAGCAGAAACTAAACTCTTAACATAGCACTTGCAGAGTATAAAAACTGACCCTAATTTCTTACAGATTATTATTATTATCACATTTAAATATATTGAGTGCTTAGGAAGTACTCTTTAAAAGCATCGTCTCATTGAATCCTTACAAACATGGCAATAAGTATTGTTATTTATATATGTTTAACAGATAAAGGAACAGGTTTAGGAAAATTGAGTAACTAACCAAGGTAAAACAGCTAGCAAGTGGTTTGAACAGAATTCAAACCCAGGATGTCCAGCCCCAGTGAATTTGTTCTCAGTTATTATGGTATAAAGTATTTACACACAATACACATTTACTTCATATACCCAAACGTGTTCATTACAAAACTATAGAACATATTCTCTGCCCTGGAAATACTACAGTTTGCATTTGGAATTTTGATTATTTACAATAAACCCCAAAGTTCATGATACATATTTGCTTGTCATTTTGCTGAGGCATGATCTAAATCTTGCTCACAAGATTTCAATCTTTCGCCGCCACAACATAAGCCCTTGAACCTCAGCCACATCTACAGTTGAAGACGTGAAGAACCTGACTGCACCCGGGGTGGAAAGCCTCAAGACAGGAACGCTAACAACGTACTTCTGCTCACCACTTCCTACAGGCCTGCAGACAGCACAGTGAGGATGCAGGCTTTTCTCGGTTGTATAGGCTCCACAGTTTGTTCAGAACAAATTCCTGTCTCTCCCTGAGGACTCAACCTCAGCAGCAAGTCAGATCTTGACAGCAGCTACCATCTTTCTGTTCTGCAGAAATGTCAACAACATCCATTCTGCCCATCCACTAAAGAACCTCTTGGGCTGTTTTCAAGATTCCAAGGAGCCACCCAGCTGAAGGAAGGAAGCCCTGGCAGGCCACATCTACTTGGGCAAAAAGGGGAAAAGCAACGTGCTTTTGAGTGGAAACACGGTCTTTGTCAATTTCTCCTTCATTAGCCTGGCTAACTTTCCAATGGACAGTGGGAGTTTTTGTTTTTACTAGTGACTGAGGTAGAATTCTTGAGAGAGTGAGAGAGAGAGACATACAGACAGAGACCAGGAGAAAACCAGCCTTAGAAATAACTGAATTCTAGCAGAAAGTGGCAGTCAGTGACACCTATGGCAGTGCAGTCGTGTATGGGATTCCCTTTCTCTCTCTCTACCCTTTTCCACTATAGAGGAACCCATTGATCTAACTCCTTCATGGCAACTTATTCACTGATAAAACCTGCAGGAGAAGAAAAAATTACTCTTGTGTAAGAGGTAGCCTTTTTCATAGAATATACCACAAAAATTAGTTAAAAGATTTGGATTTCAGCACTAGATCTCTTTATTACAGGTCAGTTGTGTGATCTTGCACAGGGGCCTTTTTACCTCACTTAGCCTCAGTTTCCCCACCTGTATAATGAGAAAGAGAATTCCCTGAGGCTTCTTCCAGCTCTTCTCTTCTAAACTATTTTTCAGAAACACAGTCATATAGCTGATTGCAGCTTATGTTTTCCAAAGTAATTCCTTATTTTGGCCCCTGGATTCACCTACCCATGGTCTGTTTGCCAGTGAATCATCCTCTGATTAATGGACAAGTTCTGTGCCTCTCTAAGCTTCAGTTTCCCCTTCGGTCACTATGTTAAACCCCGAGAGACAGCAAAGAAGGCACAGCCATGTCCTCAAGGAGCATGCTATCCAGGAAGGGAGCAGGTCTGCCTAGACAATCTCTAAGGCTTGTTTCAGCTCTGCTGTCCTAGGATTCTATGATTGCAAGCATTTCGGGGGCCACTGTCTTCCACAACTAAGGTTGGTAATAAATAAAATAATTTGTATTTCAGAAGCTGTCTTCAAAGATGCCAAACAGCACAGTGACAACATCTGCCTTCTTGTCCAGTGGAAGACTCTGAAACACCGAGCTGTGAACAGAGTCTTTTAAACCTCCTTTAGAAGACAGGTAGCAGAGAAGCAAGCTCAGGTGTCAGCTGCAAATGGCCTTTTTCTTCAAAGAGTTGTTTAGACTTGAGTTCTTTTCTGAAATTGGAGTGCAAAAGTTCAGAGTTCTACTATGATTCTCCAATCGTTCATTAGTATTCCTGGCCTGTCCTATAATTACGAGAGTCTTTGACTTTTCACCTGTAATAACGCATTGTCCTGGGGACATGGATGCCCTCACACTCTTACTTCCTTCGATCAACACATGTATATGTGACACAGACCAGCAGAAAAAGGACTGGGCCAATGTAACGATCTCAAACAGGTTCAAACCTGCCCCCAGGGCTGTGTCAGCGCCATGCTCTAGCTTAAAGAGCAAAATTAAGTCATAAGCTAAGACAAAGGGCATAAAGTAGACAGGGTCTCTCTGACTTCTCAGACTTTGCAATTCAGGATAGACAATCAAATGAGGCTTTTTCTCACAACTCCCTCAAACACACACACACACACACAAACCTGTGAGTTCCAAAGTGCAAAGGAATCCGTCTGGAATAGCCTAAGGAAGAATGTTCATTCCACTCCTCTCCCTGGCATAACTACTGCCCAACGGGGGAAGCAGCCCTGCCCAATGATCAGGCCTCAGGCTCTGTGGCCAGGCAGGATGCAGGCATCCCAACTCTAGCACCCACTCGTAGGGTAACTGGGTTGGGATTTCTGAACCTTGACTTCCTCATCTAGACAATGGACACAAGAGTGTACTAGCTCAGAGGGCTGGTGGTGAGATTAAGTAAGACAAGATGATAACATGCAGCACCCCAGAGCGATGGCTCAGGGTGTGATATGGTTTGAATCTGTGCCCCCACCCAAATCTCATGTTCAAGTGTAATCCCCAGTGTTGGAGGTGGGGCCTGGTGGGAGGTGGTTGGATCATGAGGGCTGTTTCTCATGGATGATTTAGCACCATCCTCTTGATGCTCTCATCACAATAGTGAGAGTTCTCATGATGAGATCTGGTTGTTTAAGAGTGCAGCACCTCCGCCCTGACTCTCTGGCTCCTGCTCCTGCCATGTGAGACTCTCCTCCCACCATGGCTGCAAGCTTCCTGAGGCCTCCCCAGAACCTGAGCAGATGCCAGCATCATGCTTCCTGTTACAGCCTGTGGAACAATGAGCCAATTAAACCTCTCTTCTTTATAAATGACCCAGTCTCTGGCATTCCTTTATAGCAATTCAAGAACACACTAATACAGGGTGTCAGCAGTTTCTTGTCCTCATGACTCAGACCCTCCCTGCATGGGATCGGGTCTCCCAGAAAGCTTTGTCCTGGTGATTATTTATTTTCTAACTAACAAGGGCATGCTTTTTCTAAAAATTTGCTTGGGCACTCTACCCTCTCTTGTTTATATTCATTTTTAATTATTCATAAATAGGTGGTTAATGTAGAAAATTCAAACACGTAGAGGTCCCTCTTTGAGACTTGTCTTTTCAAACTGTTTAGAATGTATGCACACGAATTTACTCGCTGGAGAAAGTACACACACACACAGACATCATTTTTAACAAAAGTTGTACAGCTATTGTATTGGCTCCTTTAGTTGCTTTTTCCAAGAGATGAGAGAACACAAAAAAATTAAAGGGAGACTTGCATATATCCAAATACAGGTTGTGCTGCTATTACTGGTCTCTTCTTCCCAGGAGTTCTAGAAGATGTTTTTAGGAGCAAATATTAGTGTGCTATCTCTCTACAATTGATTACATTTCCAATAGTAATGATAATGTTATATAATAAAATATCCAGGCAGATAAAAATGATAATTGCTGAATCAAGGGCAAATATTTCAGAGCAAGGATAGATAAGAGGACAAAGCAGAAGCGCTTAAACTGTAACTCAGTAAATCTGTCATTATCCAGAAAGAAGTCTAGATGGTTTGGTTTCAACT
The DNA here is from genome assembly GCF_000001405.40 of Homo sapiens. Taxonomy (NCBI): domain Eukaryota; kingdom Metazoa; phylum Chordata; class Mammalia; order Primates; family Hominidae; genus Homo; species Homo sapiens. The sequence goes on from NC_000010.11 coordinate 6,977,381, forward strand.
CACTTATTGAGTCATATTAATGATAGCTACACATTCAGCTGGGGACCTTTTTCTGGACCCCGGTGTCCCCCAACAAAAAAAATCAAAAGATGCCTGAACTGAGACTGTCAAACCCCACAGGGTGCCAGCCTTGCCCAGAAACTCTCACTCCAGTGGCTTCTTTCTAAGCAGAGCTACACCCGGTCTGAAGTGTCCCCATGGACTGGAAGACCATCTAACAAAAACAATTGCTTCTTTCTGTCTCTTCAGACAAGAGGGAAAGGTTTTGGTGTCATCAAAAATGAAATAATACCATGCTGAAGGGAAAGAATCCCTTTTAAAGGCCATTAAATAAAAGTTGCCCTCCTTGTTGCTAACGGTTTCAATTAACACCGAAATGTGCCACCAGCCTAGCTGCAGCCTCTCCCTGAATCAAGACCGAATCATTGTTTGACTGTTTGCTCAAACACAGAGCTAGACAGGACAAATTTGTTAGCATAATCCCATTTAATATGGTGACTACACATTCTTGCTAGCGGGAGCAAAGTGCATTTGTCAGAGCGATTAAATTGCCGGTATGAAACTCCGGAATTCCAGCTCTTCTTAGCGATTCTAACTTCACATCTACTCAATGGCTCTGATCTCAGATCATCTTTTTCTAGGAAAACCTTCTTGGACCCTGCTCATGTGGGTTAAGAAGACCAAACAGCACGGCAGCATTCCCCAGATTCCTCGTCTCTGTCCTAAGTTCTTTGTGATTCTGGGAGCAGGAGAGCAGGAGGAGACATCAGTGTGAACCATGGGATTTCTTTGCTTGAAGAGGGGACTAATTTCTGTTAAAAGCAAGATTCAGATCTCAAAGAGCTCTGTGCTCTGCGGCAGGTCCCCAGAAAAATAATCTTAATAAAATCTACTGCTGCCCCCTCTCGTTTCTGAGAGGGCAGGGATGGCACCATCCCATGCACCTGACTTCTCTCATCCTCATTGACGGGCACATGCTGGGCACATGTCAAATGAATGAATGAACAAATGAATACACAAACGAATGAATGAACGAATGAATGAATGAATGAATGAGTTTCTGGGTGTGAAAGTAGGCATTACAGGCAGACAGCAAAAGGAGAAGTGGGATGTGATTGTTTCTTCCAAATAAAACATTTTTAAAGTTGTGTCTGTCTATCCTTAATTTTGGCTTCATTGGTTCCATTTCATCTTTTCCTTGCCTCAAACTATGACTCAGATAGGTCCTTAGAAACCATTTTTTTCACCCTATAATTTTAGATGCAAGGAATATGATGCCTGATGAGGTAAAGTTACTTATTCAGGGAAACATGCTAGTTCATTTTTATGGTATTTTACAACATTGTGAATTTTTTATAGATTAGTCTTCTGTGAAAGCACAAAGTCCTCCTGTATCCTCCTGGTTGTCTCCAATAACCAGAACATTAGAGCTTACAGAAAACAACCCTCCTTCCACTTCCAATATGTTAAAATGTGAAAAGAAATGGCTGGTAGAGCATTTATATACTAGGGTTTCGTGAAATCTTACATCCCAATTAATTGTAAGGCACATAACACTGCTAAGAAAAAAAATACTCCAAGCACAACATGTTCTTACTACTTAGAAGTTCTGTGTCACACCTATCAAAAGAGCTCTTTTAGATTTATTTATGCATTTTTAATTTATCTGTCTTGTTCATACCTTAAAAAGAAAATATCAGCAAAATAAATTGGTAGTTGCATTTCTACAACTGCTTCGCATTCAGGGAATGATGCTTTTATATTACTTTTTGGCTCCATTATTGATGGACAGCCTTTTTCACCGTTCTGTCATTTGTACCTTCAAAAGCACTGATGAGACAGCTTTCCTTTCAACAAAAAAGTCTCTCCCTATTGTCTCAGCTTCCCTTCCGAGCCACTGTTCGCCTCTCTGTGAGTTTTGCAGTTGGCGCTCACCTGCTTGGCTGGTGTGAAAGGTGTGATAGGCAATCTTTCTGCATTGTCTCAGAAGGCAGAGACAGGCATCCAGCTCTCCCTGTAGAAGTGTTCTTTTAGATTCCATGAAACACTTGGTTGCTGCTTTGCAAGAACATAAGGAATTGCTGTCATTCCTTTAATGACAAGTCATTGTTTCCCTAACACCAAATGTGCGCCCCACTTCTCTGCTTCCATGTCTTTCTTTGTACACAATAACTTTCCGTGTTAAAGCCAAATCATCTTGCAATCTTCCCAAAGACATTTTAAGCGTCTGTTAAACTCCACACATATGGCTGCGGCAATGCACAGAACGCATTTGCATAGGACCAGATACAGAGGGCGAGAAACAAGTTGGCGTGT